>NC_000023.11:33189985-33340342 GCF_000001405.40 Homo sapiens | reverse complement strand
CTGAGAGGAAACATATGATTTTATTAATTTTTCTCATGAAAACACTTAAACTTTCTTGTGTTATAATTTCAAACCATAAGTGCCCCCAAGACAGGCAAACTTGGAAGTTTTAGAGAAAATTATACGGTATAATTGATAACAATTACAGTTTCTTTTAACAAATACTGATTCACGATTAGTATTTTTAAAATACAAAATGCATTTTCCTGAATAGCATTTATTTACTTGTTAAAGAAGTTGTGTAAGAGATTCAGCTAATCTAATTTCTTACTTTGTGAAGAAATCACTCATCTAAAGTCAAAATATCAAGTATAAAGTCTACCCTTGGGAGAAGCATACAGGGTGCCAGACTTTAAATATCTCCAGTGTGCAAAATAAATAATATTTTCTTGAAATATCCTCTTATTTGAAAATTTGCTATAGAGTCACAAGAGGCAAATTCCATTTGAGAAAGTGCATGCTATATTTTACAACGCAGAAATGTGGAGCTGAGCACACAACATCTTATTGCAAAAGTACAATTCAGAAGAGAGTTTTTACCCTTAAAAGGCTGTGAAGATAAGTAAAAATCAGCCAAAATTTCAGTGTGAATAATATGATGTTTGGCGAGGAACTCTACTATTGTTACACTTAGGAAAATAATCTAATCCAAAGGCTTTGCATCTGTACAGAAGAGCGAGTAGATACTGAAAGAGATTTGCAGATCCACTGTTTTTTAGGCAGGAAGAATGCTCGTTAAATGCAAACGCTGCTCTGGCTCATGTGTTTGCTCCGAGGTATAGGTTTTGTTCGACTGACGTATCAGATAGTCAGAGTGGTTACCACACCGACGTTGTAGCAGCTGCATAATAAATGACTGAAAGAATCATGTTAGGCATGCCCACCTAACCTAACTTGAATCATGCGAAAGGGGAGCTGTTGGAATTCAAATAGACTTTCTGGTTCCCAGCAGTCGGCAGTAATAGAATGCTTTCAGGAAGATGACAGAATCAGGAGAAAGATGCTGTTTTGCACTATCTTGATTTGTTACAGCAGCCAACTTATTGGCATGATGGAGTGACAGGAAAAACAGCTGGCATGGAAGGTAGGATTATTAAAGCTATTACATCATTACAAATACAATTAGAAGCTGGCCATGACAAAGCATATGTTTGAACAAGCAGCTGTTGGTAGCTGGGGTTTGTTGCCGAGCTCTTCAAACTCTGCAAACAGTGTTGCTTTTACAGAATGGATTTTAAAATTGCCTTGTGCTGCGTTAGATTTTGGGGAGGGGGTGTGCTTGCCTCCAACCTCAGGAAAACACTTCTGGGATAGAAATCAGTGTTAGAAGATTTTAGAATAAAGTATTGTTCAGGAGTCTAGGTTTCTTCAGGTAGATGATGACAGGGGGAAAAAAATCTTCGGGGAAATCTACCCCAGATTAGTTATATGCAATTTAGTTGCAAGAACTGATTGATGTATTGGCATATTCAGACAGTGAGAGAAATGAGAATGTACAGAATGTTTGGATAGGTTGAAAATTGTTATACTTGGTTTCTATTTTATAAGGAGTTTGGCTGTCAGTCATTTCTCCTCATCAATTTCTAGCTTTTGACATTTATTCAGTCATTCTGCATTATATGAAGAAAATATATCAATATCTCCTGCAGGGTTTTTCAACAACTCTAGCATCTGTTTCAGCTATTGAACTGTATTCACGTTTTGCCAAGTTGATGTCGACCCAGCTGGTCTATGATTTCTCGCTTGATTACTGCTCTTAATTTCTCTGTATCAGCTTGTTTCAGATAGGGCTTTGAAGGCTGTTAATGAAAAATGACAGAAGTGATAAATTATTGAAAATGTGAGCATTTATTTATTTATTTATTTATTTATTTATTTATTTTGCCCTTTAATGAGTTTTGTCTTACATTCTTTCTTGCCTGCGTACGATTTTTAGAACCCTTTCTCTGTTTTGCAATATTTCTTTCCCCTACAATCAGTGGATTATAATTATAAGTACTTTTAAGCAAATGGAGCATGAGCATGGACAGTATTTGGCTCCAAAAATAAAGTTTTTGGAGAAAGGGGAGCAATTTATGCTTTTTGTATAAACTATGCATCGTTTCTATAACCTATCTTCACATGCTGTCATGGGGATCTGTCAGTGACTGTAATCAGACTGAACATATTGAAATAATCTTTATCACCACTAGGGTAACAAGCAAATAAAACATTCAAACATTTAACAAGTGATTGTTTAAAACAGATGTTAAATAATATAGAAATAGATTTTCCTAAGTGTGAAAAGCCTGATTATTAACTGTCTATGTAATACAGAATCTTTCGGCTCTCTACCCAGTCTCCTCCATAGCCTGAGGAGCTAAATCATCCAAGTTAATAGACTATCATATATGTACATCTAATATGACCTTTCAGTGTACACAGTGCTACTCGTATGTGCTGTGCCTTTTCTGTAGTAATTGTAATATCCCAGTCAGTCTGGTTAAGGAACACTATTGGCTGTTATGTAACTTTTTTTCTGAATGTTAGTCCATGGTTTTCAATTACGTATTCCTCTTAGAAAGGGTGAGTTAAAAACAACATGTATTTAAATATCAGTAAATTAATTAGCAAGTGGTGGGCTAATTACACTAGGATTTCTCCAAAATAATTGCTAACTTCTGTTTTGAAAAATAGTCAAGGATTTGGATGACTACTTTTTAACCTTGAAGCATACATTACCGTGGTTGAATATCATTCATAATTCATATATACAGCAGGAAAGAAAATAGTTTTCTAGATGTATCATTTTAGCAGCAAAGAATTTTTTTTTATAATGTGGTTCAGGCACTCTGATTATTTCCGTTTAATACTTTTAAGTACTGTAGATGCTTTTGTATAGTGTGTTACAGAACTTGGTTAATCTTTGGGAAGCTCAAAGACTGACAGAATTTTGCATCCAAATGCTACAGGGTTATTTTGTGGTTGGTTGAGAAAATTCAGCTCTGTCTATACTGTTGTTTAAAATACAGCCCTCTTTGGCCAATGTTACTTTTCAACTTTTTATAACCGTTTTAAGTGACCATTCAAGACTGTAAAAACTCTTTTACACTGCATCTTTAGTAGGACTCTCCTTTTGTGAATTGTCTCCTTCGAAAAAATGTGAGCTTCCTTCTAGCCTCACTCTCTTGTTACCATAGTTACTTTTAAAAGAAGGTTTTTCTTTTTCAATGAAGATAGCGTACTTTAAATCAGCCACTGGAATCCCCAAACTGTGTTTTTGTATTTTTTAGTTTATAGTTTAGGCTTGCTTCATTTGCGGTTAGAAAGTGCTCTGTATTTGGTCCCACTGATGAATGGATTGGACAGACGCTAGGTGGCACCAGCTGTTGATTATTAATGAAATCGTAAAGTCTATATGCCACGCACCTGAAGAGCAGGCAAACCCTTATTGATAAATGCATTGTAAGAGCTGGAAATGTCTGCCAATATTTCTTGCTCTAAAACAGGGTCAGCCTGCAGAGTGATGAGACCACGTGAAGTCTTCAAATCCCAATTGCTTAATCCTGTGTCTTCTGAAGTGCTTTAAGGAAGAAAAAACGATGAAGGAGAAATGCATAAAAATAGAAGGTGTGAAAGAGAAGTGGGACACAATGAAATAGACTGCAAACATTTTAATATATTTTTAAATCCAGAATTAGTGACTTTTATAAATCTATGTGAGTTTTCCCCAATTCTCTCAAACTCAGATTGTTTTCTCTAAGGCATTTATATTCTAAAACAATTATTTATCTCTTTTAGGTAAAAATTTTATTGAGCATCATTATTTTTTAAGTAAAAAAATCTCCCTTATTTCTCTTTTTGTGATAAGACTGTCAAGTGAAATTTCCCACATGAGCTAGAGTAGCTGCCTCTCAGGTGTTGCTCTTCAGAAAGATGAGCAGGGGAAGACACTATCGGTTAAGAAATATGCTTTGAAATGTTTTGCCTGAGAAGCTTGCTCCATCCTATTATCCTCCCATTCTCATATAATCCATCTTTTAAGAAGGAAAAAGCAAATAAAAACAAACCACTTAAGCATGTGCATACACACACACACACACACACACACGCTTTGGAAAAAAAAAAAAGTCAGAACTGTTTAAAAAGAGAAAGCCACGACAATATTTTAGTTGGTCCTGGAGTTAATAAACTAAAGTGAAAAATAGGAAGGAAAGTCCATAATTAGATTGTGGAGAGTAAATAATTACTTAAAACTGGAAATATTTTTCCAGAAAAATATGCAATATTTTTTCTTCACTGGGAGTAACTGACAATTCCTGAAGAAGGTGAGATGGTTTAGAAAGAGTGCAAAGATAATATATGCTGTGATTCTCCAATGTTATCTGAAAAGTATGTAATATGGCTAGTTATCTTGATTATAGCATGGACTTTGGTAAAGATTTTTATGATGCCCATATGGTGAAAATGGAGAAATATTTGCTGTTTGACATAAGAGTCTGGTCAATAAATCAGCTGGCTAAATGACCCTGCCTGTGATGTATCAATTAATGAATCACAGTAAACCAGGAAGAGGGCCTTTCACAGGACTATAGCATAGTTCTATAAAATTGGTTCCATCTGACTTGAACCTAATCTTCTGTAATGTGCCTTATGTCTCTGTTCTTGAACCTACTTGGCCTGTGAAATATTAATGTCCAAAAACTGAAGGACGATCCAGATAGCCTGTCTATCTGGGAAGCAGAACAAATACATTGAACTATTAGGGTACCAAAGGATTATGACCACCTAAAAACTGTGGTGAGGTCAAAGAGAATAATTGTAATAGGAATAAGTATAACATCCTAAGCTAAGGTTCATAAAATCAATCTGGCAAGTACAGGACATGAGAGAGTTAAAGCTTAGTAATAATTAATTGAATAAATCTTACTGATTTTGTTGGTCATCATTATTATCAGTCATAATTCATATGACATCAAAATACAATGAAACAAAGTAATATTGTTAGACATGTATCCTGAAAAAGGAAATGAAAAAAATGAGAACGAATTTTAGAAGGATATATATGATATAATGGTGTGTGTGTGTATATATATGATAGGTATGGTATATGTATATATTATATGTGGTAATATATACATATTTTAGAAGGACACCATGATCTAAGAGGAACCTTAACATTTGGGGGTATGTTCAGTGAAAAGTGTCTGAATGCTAAAAGGTCCTACAAACTATAACATTTGAGGGGCATGGAAAGTACTAGAAAAGTGAAAAGTTGAAGAATACTTGAAGGAAAAAAGTAGAGAAAATTAAGCTGATTTCAAATATTCGATGTGCTATAATGCAGAAGAGGGTTTAGACTCACTTGCACCTCTTTGGTAGCAATGGAAAAGTATTCTTCCAGTTAATGTTGTGAGCAGAGAATTGATTACTTTGTGAGACACTGCACTCCTTATTCCTAAAGTGTTCAGTGCTAAGAATGGAGTTTCTGCACTAAATGGAAATTGAAGAAGATGTCTGAGATAATTTTTAACTAAGAATCTGTGAGTCCAATCATTTCTTTTAAAAACATGTTCTTTTTTTTAGACATTTATTTCTCTGAGGGTCTCTACTACTCCACTCGCATCATCCAGGCTAGGGGTCAGTAAATGATAGTCCACATTGTCACATCTATTACTGTTTGACCAGTCATTTAAAATGGTTTTCACGTTTCTGAATTGTTTCATTTCAAGAATATTTCTGACACATGAGATTATATAAAATTTCAATTTAAGAGTCTATAGTTTATTTGGAAGACAGCCACACCCATTTATTTGTTTATATGCTATATAGGACTCCTTTCATGCTAAAACACAGTTGAGTACTTATGACAGAGACCATGTGGGCCACAAAGCAGGAATATTTACTATCTGGCCCTCGATAGGAAAAGTTTGCTCACCTCATCTCTAGACTATAAAGAAATTTTGTTTTTTGCTTATTGACTCAAGTATCTAAACAAGCAATGTAACAGTTAAATAACAGTTCTATACCATAAACAGAAATTGTAACCACCCATACTACTTAAGTACTAGAGACTTGGAAAAGTAGTTCAAATATGCAGCCTAACAGATAAAGATGGTTTCATTTGGCTGTTAGTCTATTGAGATAATTTACTTGTTGAGGAATGTTTATTTAATGTTTCCATAAAAAATTGAAGTCTCTGCAATCATTGACTTATATATAATATCTGCCTAGTTTGACTCCATTAATCTTGCTGAATTTACCTATTTGGTAGGATTCTGTTATTTTTATTGCTGCTTTTCCGTTAGTGTATGATTTCAGTAGACTTACAGAAAGGGTGAAAGTCAATGGAAAACAAGGTAAAGTGAGTGGAATTTTCTTCTTGCAGCTACCCTCTTCTCTCTTCGTGGGTTTATAGACTCTCTCAGCAGCTTTGGAATTGCAGTTTTAGAGACTTACTTTTATAACATTATGAGTGTGTTCTTGATCAAATATGTTCTAGAAGGGATCAAGATAAAACAAATGCACTGCACTATAAAAGAACAGTTAAGGGTTTTAGTAAATGATTGATAAGACATGCTAAATTTAAGAATTAGCAATGAGTTATTTATATTTTCCTGAACATAGGGATATGAGAAGGGATTTTTTTTCATGTCATAGGAGAAACTATAATCAAATTCTAAGCATAAAGCTGAGGGATTCTGAATTTACCACCAAATATTACAATCTCCATAGTTCCATAATGTGCAACTAAAATCCCCACATTTTTTTTCTAGGGAAAGATATAATTTCTGCTCACTGGTAGCGCTGGAAATTCCTGTAAAACCCATAGGATTCTTATTGTATTTCCATGAGGATGTTCCTGAGCAGCTACTTTGTGATGCCTGTCTCTATGGTAACAGACACAAGGCTTAAGGGTCTGAAAGAAATTCTTCCTGTTGGCTTAGGAATATGGAGCAATGAGGGAGACCCACTGAAGACTATAAAACTGAGGAAAGGCAAAAGAGGCAATTGAGAAAAAGTTGTCGTGGGGGAGCTTTTTTTGTGTATTTGAAAATAATTTCACAATTTCATTTGCTCTTAATATATCTCTGAATGAAATAAGAACCAACATACAAGTAAAGTTTTACAGAAAGAAAAAATTCTGTGAAAGTATTGTTTTTTAACCATCTAGTCAATTTTATGTAATTGAAGTCACACAGATTTTTTCTTTAGTTGGCTTGCCTTTCGCTACTCAAGAAAAGATTGCTTCTTGCCTGAAATTGGTAAGAGGACGGCTCTACCCCTGGCAAATTTAGTTCTTGTTACTGCTATCAAAGATCTTGATCTTTTAAAGGACTTTCTTTTTCCTGATTCCAAGGGTAAGAATATTGAACTCTGGTTCACATTACTCATAATCACTGAGCTTCTCAGGGAATTATGAAAGTACACTAGCCTTCCAAGATGTTCTTTTTTAGGTCTATTTCTCTTAAAGACCAGTAATAAATAGAGCAAATAGTACTGCTTATTTGAAAATTGGGTATTTCGTAAGAGGATGCTGGGTGAGAGTTTGTGTTTTTACATGTTTTACTTTGTTTCTCTTATTAAAATAACAAAAAAGCAAACAAAAAGCTCCTAGAAGTTTAAAAATATTTGATTTTCCATTTATTTGACTTCATCTTACTTTCAGCTTAGCAAATAGGGACACATCACATTTGAATTGTTTTAGAAAGGAGATAAATATGACTCTCCTTTCCCTTAGATTCAAAGTATATGTTCAAGGTGTCATCAAATAGCCAAAAGTCTTTAAAATATTTATGCTATGTAAATGTCCTTCAGGAAAATATAAGTCAGAGGGAGGAGATGGCCGTCTTAGTATAAAGCTCTCATGTGTATTTGCAGTGTTAACATGAGTGTTGATGTTTTATTTATCTTCTTAACATGTTATATCTGCACATGTCTTCATTTGTTATATGTTAGGGTCAACAGAAAAAATAATAAAGTTATTGCAAGTAAGCAAAAACTTATAACCTGATCAATAAAAATTAATATTTTAGGTTGGAAGATAAACACATCTCAAATGTCATTTTATAAGATCAAGTTAACAAATGTTAGCATGCTTAAAGCTTTAGAGGAATTAAATCTTTTTATGGTTTATTTTCTGACCTTGAGAAATTTATAGACTCTGTGCAGATATATGTTTTCACAAATTTAATCCACTCTATATAGATATTAGTAAAATGTAAGACAGTGTCTTCAGTACCTGTTCACACTATCTTTAAATTAAATGAAAAAACTCAAGTTAGCTGTAATGTTTCAGTGTCTCCTTTGATAGTGTTGGAAAGCAAATTTTTTAAAGAAAACCTTTTTTATAACTCCATACATTTTGACCTATAGATACTAATTGCAATATAAAATGTGACATCTGAATAAAACAAGAATACTTTAAATATTCAATATATATACTACTTTTGAAAAGATGACTTAAATTATAAACATATAAATTATATGCCTAACATGACTGGCTTCCAAAAAACTTATTTTCTTGAGCTTTGGGGTTACAGCCTAAAGTGCACTGCAGTAAATAAGCAAATGGGTAAAAATATTGTCTAGACAAAAGTAAAACTGAGATGTTCTTTTGAGCAAACGTTTATAGAGGAGGTACAGGATGACAACTGGAAACGTAGGTGGTACGCAGAGATTAATTGCTGTCAATGTACACCTGAAGGTAAATGGATGGTGCTTATCAAATTTCCAGAAGAAATATTGACATTATGTTGCAATTTGAAGACAGGGTTATGAATACAAAGAGCTAAGGGAAAATAAACTTATCAGCATCATTCAGCTCTGGTCATGACATTGTTACAACTGATTATAACACTCCCAGGATAAAATGTGATAAGGACCATCATAGTCTGTTTTTACTAGTACAGATTTCTTTTATACATGCTATAAGTAGAATTGTTCGGTCCAGCAACAATAAGCTGGATTATTGAAAGTGACACTAATGCTAACCTGAAATTGTATGGGTTTTAGGGGAGATGTGGGACTCATTTATGTTCTATGACAAGTGTAAAAAGGAGATTAAGTAAAAGCCTGCATGTGATGGACACATTAGTGAGTAGGAATCTCAGGTTCCTCTCCCTTTGGCTGCTGACCCATTCATGGGCTGGTTTTGGTGGCCACAGTGGCAGGAAACAGAGTCTATTTCTCCATTAGGTCATCCAGACAGGATTAGAGCCCACCAACTGAAATGAAAGGTTGTTTCTGCTGCTTTTCATTCATCCAACAAATATTTATTGATAAATTCTAACTGCCAGGCTCTGTGCTAGAGCAAGATGACTAAGATACAGTCCCTGAGGAATTTAGAGACGAACGTGGTTTATGTGGATGAGAAGAGAAAAATATTTACAGTGAATAGCTAAGCAGAGAGCAACAGCAACTGTGAACCCAGACAGTAAAGCTGACTTAGGACTGAGCTAGAGGTTTCCGGAGTTCCTAGTGTGAGTGATGTGGAAAAACTGGCAAGTCCATCAAAGAGCAAAATGATAACTGAACAGAAAGAAAGCAAATCCAGTGAAAAATAGTAATTCAAAGTAAAGGGTAAAGCGACATATTTGAAGTGTCACTTGAAATAAAAAGGAGCATGCCTTCCACCTGTTGCTCATCTTCACTGGAATCAAACCTAGAAGGAAAATGTCTAGGCTGGTCTAAAAGCCAGTTGCATACAATGATATTAAATATGATTAAAGCTAGCATGAGCATGACCATGCAAACTTTCAGGAGGATTTGAAAACAGTTACCTCCCATTGGTAGTTTATGTACGTCTATCCCTGGAAACTTTTTCCTATGCTATCTTTAGAGACCTTGTCATATTTTATCTCAATGTCTAACACTCTTTAATTAGAAGCTACCTGAAAATGTTTCACTCATGTATAAAGTTAAATTAATCACAGAATCAGACCTCAGAGGTTACAAAGGAGGGCTGAAAGGATAACATCTCAGATAGAATAGATCTATTGCCAAATAAACCTGTAACAATAAGAAATTGTGTTAGATAATCCGTAAGGTTTTATCCAATTTCAACATCTTCCAATTTAATTGATCTCCAGCCTCACACCCAACTCCTCCTAGGAAATTAAAAAGAGACAGGTAAACAAGATATTTTCTGAAGAATCGAATCATCCAGAAAGTCATTCTCTCTCAAGCAGTACATTTTCTAAAGAATTTAATTATCGAAAAAAGTCTCTCTCTCTCCTCTTTCTCTCTCCCTTCTTCTGACATATATAGATATGCATATATACACATATATGTATATATTTATCTATATATCTATTTATATCTCTGACTCGCTGAAGTAACTTAGATATATAGGCTAAAGGCAAAGAAAAATTCCTCCCAACATTCATTAGTAATTTCCCTTTATAGATTAAGGAAAGTATTTCTGTCCTCCTTGATTTTTAAAACATTTTACTGAACTATAACACGAATATATAAAAGTTCACAAATCAATAGGTGTCCAGCTTCATGAATTTTCACAGATTGGGCACACCCCAGTAATTACTCAAGGCAAGAAAAGAATATTACCAGCATCCAAAAACTTTGTCTTACCACTTCCTAGTCAATACTCTCCCAGAGGTAAGTGGAATACTGACATCTAACACACCATTGATTAGGACAGACAGTTCCTGAAATGTATGTACTTGAAGCCATACAGCTGTACTCTTTTGTTTCTGGCTCCTAAATCTCAACATTCTGTTTGTGAGATCTATCTAATTTGTTTCTTGTAGTTGTGGTCCCATAATTTTCAGTGTTGTGTAGTATGCCATCATATAAATGTCCTATAATTTACTTATTCCATCTACTCTGGATGAACATTTAAATTGATTCCATTTGTGAACTCTTAAAAATAATTCCACTTTGAATATTCTTGCAAATTTACTGCACATATGCATGTAGTTCTGTTATGTGCCAAGAAGTAGAATTATTAGGTCATAGAATAGTGAAATACTCATCTTTAGTTGAAAATGCCACGTAGTTTTTCAAGGTAGGTAAACAAAGAACCATCATTACTTTATAGAAGTTCTGGACATGTCAATGCTTAGCATTATTAGTCTTTAATTTCAGCCTTTCTGGCTGTTATACTATAGTATCTCATTGTGTTTCTCATTTCCATTTTTTTCTAGTGACTAATTAATTTGAGAACCATTTTTTGTGTTTATTGCTCATGTGGATGTTATCTATAGTAAGGATAACATTTCCTCCCAACTTTCATTAGTAATTTCCCTTTGTAGATTAAAGAAAGTAATTCTATCAACTTGATTTTTAAAATGTTTTACTGAACTATAACACAAATATATAAAAGTGCACTTTTCTAATCTCATGCTCATTTTTCTATTGATTTACAATTTTGGTTTTTATAGGTATGAGATCTTTACATTTTTATATGGTCCCTACATTTATTGTATGTGTTGCAAACATCTAGACAGATATCTTTTATAGGAACTTAGAATTTCAAAACCCGGAGACCATTAAAGAATATTTAGTCCCATATCTTAGTTTGAAAGATGAGGAAAGTGTGACTTATAGAGAAATTGTCATTTCTTTTAAGTTTCTTCCAGTTAGTAGTAAGGCCAGATACGTAATAAAAGTCTCCTGACACTGAAGTAAAGGGTTTTTTTCTAGTAAACCATGTAGGGTCTTTAGTCTTGTCTAATACTGTGACTCAAACTCCTTGTCTCTTTTGGAAGGCCACAAAATGCGTGACATAGTAATTTTAATAGCAAGTATAGAGTGATGCGTGATTAATCTCATTGATTTTGTGAACAAAAATATCTTCAGCTAACAAACTGTTGTATAGCATGGCCATGCAATATTTAAACCTGTATGGGCCGGGCGTGGTGGCTCATGCCTGTAATCCCAGCATTTTGGGAGGTCGAGGTGGGTGTATCATGAGGTCAGGAGTTCGAGACCAGCCTGGCCAATATGGTGAAACCCCATCTCTACTAAAAACACAAAAATTAGGTGGGCTCACGTGCCTGTAGTCCCAGCTACTCGGGAGGCTGAGGCAGAAGAATCGCTTGAACCCAGGAGGCTGAGGTTGCAATGAGTCAAGATCGTGCCAGTGCACTCCAACCTGGGTGACAGAGTGAGATTCTGTCTCAAAAAACAAAGGAAAACAAAACAAAACAAAAAAAACCTATATGTTCTTTTCGGCATCAGATTTTATTTTTCCTCTTTCATAACTTTATTATTATATTCAGTTTCTTTTCACATTTATTCTTATTACTTGGATGTTCCCATTCCAAATTTGGTTCTAATTCAAAAAGTTTTCATTTTCTATAGTGGATGAAGAACAACATAAATTTTACAATACTTTCTTTTAGTGAGATAAAATTTAGTTTACAAAACATAATTACTAGTACATTAATATTTACTATTTATTTTTAACATGCTAGGTGCAGTTCATGCGTTATTTTAGCTAATCTTTGGAACAACCCCCGCCAAAATGTTTTATTATGCCTAGTTTATAGATCTAGAAGCTGAGCCTAAGTGAGATTAAGCTACTTGTGAAACAGCTCTAATCAGAACCAGATCTTTATAAGATTCTATGCATTTCACTCCTTCCATGATCTACTTCTGTACCTGCTTGGAAGGAAATTGAGTTAGTGATACAGATTTGGGTCACTACCTGCCTTTAGTTCTTCTGCCATACATAGGTCTTAGGGATAACCTCTTTTTCCAATATCATTAAATAATTCATTTTCTGTATCTTTTTTTTCCAAAACGGTAATTAGAGAAGTCACTTCGTTGGCCTTGATTTTATTCATTGTATTGAATAAATACAATTTTCTAAATACGGAACTCTTATTCATGTGCAACCTAAATACGGATTAGGTGAGTTAATATCCAGAGACCAGATTATTACTAAACTTTTCTTGCATTTAGAGACTGAACTTATTATAAGAATCTTTTAATTCTTTTTAGCAACCTATTCCAAGGTTGATTACTTCTCATGCATATTTTAGTTCCAAATATTTCTTTCTCTTTCTTGTTCATTGGAGAAGCATTCCACAGATGCCTGAGAAACAACTTGCTCTCAGTCTCTCTATCTTCTAGTCCTTGGCTAGAGTCCCCTTGCCACACTTCCCTAGCTTCATGCAGAGTAGATACTCAATAGTACTTCCACTTAGAAATTTAAATCCAGATGAGTTACCTAGCATGCTACTTTCCTCTTAAGGAGTAAGTGAAGCAAATGTTTATAGTTGTTTCACTGTATGTGAACAAATAGGAATGTCAATAAAACAAGTACATTTAATTCATAAGTACTTGATAATCTTAATTCCTTAAATGTATAAAGCTTTAAAATTAACAAAATACTTTCAAGTTTAATTTATTCACATAGGAACCATATGAGGTAAGCAAGGTAGGAAGTCTTATTTCCTCTTTATAGAGAGCCATGTAACTAATTTCTCCTATTTGTATCCTAAATTTCTTTTAGCTCTGCCATCCCCCCTCCATATCTCCTGACAGTCACCACCTTAGTTTAGATCCCCATATCTGACTTCGAATACACTGATAGCTTCCTAATGTACCTTCCTTCTTGCTTCTCTCCAGTTTACCCTTCACAAGGCTGCTAGGCTTATCTCTCTCAAAGACAAAACTTAATAAGTTATTCCACTGCTTAAAGTCCACAGGTGGCTTTATATTATTTATAGATTATAATTCAAATAACTTGCATGAAGAGAAGGTACTTTACAACAATTTCCCTGCCATGTGCTCAGTCTAATCTTATATCCACCATGTGAATGCCTCACCCTAGCCATACAAACAGTTCTCTGACTGTAACACACTTCCTTTTCATGTGCCTTTGGAAATGTTGACTCCATCCCACAGTCATAAACAATTCTTATTCACATATATTTACTTGGTACATGCTTTATAATCCTCCAAAATAGTGTAGCTAGTGCCTCTTCTTTACTTTTGGCTGAATCATGCACCCCTGTGCATAGAATCTTCCTAATACTTGTTTCACCACTTATTTTGCTGTGATGTACTTTTCAGGTTATTGATTTATTCATAAACTATTAGTGCCTGAGGGCCATGAATTCTCTATTCTTTTTTTTTTTTTACCCTTTGCTTAGCTCTTCTGGAGGGAGCTACTCAAGTTTAACTTAAAGTAGTAATGAGTTACACAGCCAGTAAGACATTTGTTTGAGTCCTAAGGTGACATCATTTCCATTGCATCCTTCTTCCCTCTAATATTACTAACCATAGTACACGAGCAGTACTATTGTCAAGATTCCTCCTCATTCAGTTTAGGGAAATGCGTTGACCCAAGTTACCATTTTTGTCTATTTCACACCGTAAAAGTCGGGATATTTAGTTATGATGGTATGATAGTTACCCTACATGGTATTTTAAAGGCTCTATTTCCTTTGTGACTTACACATGACCTCCCCAGAGGTCTTAATTTAATGGAATCATCACCTAAAATAATAGAAGAGTAAATTGACAGTTTCGTTTATAAGGTACATGGATTCAGGCATATTGGTAAAGTAACACAAAGCAAAAATGTGGTTCTTCATTTGTCTTGTTTCATCACTAATAGAAAATGATGGAGTTCACCAATCACCCAATTGTACTGTGCAGCATGGTTATTGTAAAGTATACCTGAAATTAAAAGCAAATATCTACTTCCATTTTTTCCACTGAATTTTCATCAGAAAATGAGAACTACATACTGAAGGATTTGGGGTTGGCGAATAGCAGATGTATAATGCCAGCAATATGAAAGCAGAGCAAATGCGTGATTGGTTTACAGCCTCAACTTCAGTAGTACTCTGCAAAGTCTGCCAGCACACAGGTGCCTTGAGGCTGCAAAGAGCGTAGGAATTCAGTGGATGTATCAAATGATATGAGATGTTAATACCTACTTCCTTCTAATGCATAGCTTTGTGATATTAGAAAATTAATAAAGAAGTGAACAAATTAATTACTTTATAATCTCCTAAATCTTCTCTGTGGAAGGAAAATCTCAAAGATGCATTAAGTATCCAGCAAATTGGTTTTGAAATTATCCATTATTAAAAAGCACAATTCTGTGTAACAGGAAGCCACATGCCAAGAGCTATGTATATTTAATCATTTATGTCGATGCTTTTTGTAGCAATTCTGTTTATTCTCTATTGACATTATATACAGTCCTTTTTATACATAGTGGAATTTAATGTGCTGTGTTTAAAAGACACATCAAGCCTGACAGAATCCAATTGTATACATTATACTTTTAATTTATTAGAAAATGAAATGATCATTTGTGGGCTTATATTAGCCAAAGCAGAGGATAAATTTTATTATATTAAGAAAATCAAATACTGTGACTACATTTACAAACATTGTAAACATGACACTTGTTGCATAATTAATAAATGAACATATTGACCTTTAATATAAAACGGCATGAAAGGAAAGGGAAGGTGGAAGATATAACCACAATCAGAAGTGGAAATGAACTCAAAATCTGTAACTGTATATTAAAGAAACATGTGATTCATGATTGCTTTTTTGCCTTTTCCATTTTGAGGCAATAGTGCCATGTTGATATTCATTTGTGCTGTCAAATTAAGGGAAAACATTGACAATCTTTAATATAACAAAGATAGAGAATAAATGCAGGTCAAAAGTGTGTGGGAGAATAAGAGAATTGATCACATTTTAAGAACAATTACCCATGTCACTGCTTAACCCAACGTAATGATGTCAACCAGTAGGATGGAAGCCAGCATCAGGAAGAATCATTTTCCAAGCAGATGGATCTGCTGATATTTTTAATTGATTGAAGGAGCGTTCCATTATTTTTAATCAAAAACTAATTTCAAATAAAATGGAAACTTCCATGAAGTTTGCAAAAATCTGTATGCATTAAGGCTCAGACTAATAGAACTACAATGTTGTGATAGTTAATAATCCATTATTTAATTATAATGATTATTGTTCTTAACACATTACACATGGGAGTTTGTGGGAACTACCCTACCTTTCTTGCTTCTCAGGTGAGACAAATCATTCTCCTAGTGGTCTCAAGTGGTACTGAACCTCATTTTATCACTGATGACATGCTCATGAAACTCACACTGTACTGGTGTTCTTTTCTCCGTCTCACTCACTTCTTTGCTGTGCTTCCTGGGATCACCTCCGAAATAAGTTGCTGGCACTCAAATAATTTGCTCAGGGTCTACTTCTGGTAAAAGGCAACCCAAGACAACATGATATTTTATTATTAATAGTTTTCCTCATTTAATTTTATATATAATCATTTTTTTCTGACAGGGAAGTATATTTGAGGAAATAATGAGGGCAATTATCAAAATATGCATTGGTTTGGGAGTTAGAGAAACTGTCAGAAGTGACACACCAATTTTGCTACATCGTGACTTGGTAACAGTCATTACCATTCTGGGCCTTTTATTCTCTTCTGAAAAAATGGAAGCATTCGATTACAAATCATTAAAGAATAAAGAAGATAGAAAGTGATAGAAAAGATAACAAATGTTGATCACACCATGTGCAATTGCTTGATAGTAGTTTCCAGGAGTACTATAACAGACTGAGACTGTATCTACTTGGAACTCGTGGGATAAAATACCATTATTTGATGCCGTATGTGCTCGGCATGAATGCAGTGGGAAGGATAGAAAATATTTCATATATTTGCCAACTGTAGAATATACTGTAATAGATCAAGTTTCATTTTAAAAATACACAGGACACATTTTTTTAAAAATCTCATATGAAAGCCCAGCAAAGAAAAGAAGAATTGAAGGTGTAGACATCTTGAATGAAAACAAGAGGACGATTTGATTCAACTGCCATTTATTCCAACTTTCACCCTATAACCCCATAGACACAGCTGTAGAAAACTGAGATCTTGAAGAAAGCCACTGAATTAGATAATATCTACGACTACTTCCAACTACAAATGTAGAAATAATTGTCTTTACCTACTCATCCTCAGCTAGAAAGCAGCTAATGGGCTACTTTAAATGTGTGATGCTTTCACAAATTAAGCAAGACTGAGTACAACAAGCACAACAAGTCCAACAGCACAAGTTTTCACAAACAGTATTGGATGTAACAATACATCCAACCAGTATTAGATGTAACAAAAATTGGTTAATTTCCTAATCAATTAATTAGGAAATTTTATTTTCTAACCTGTTGGTTGCCAGTTATGGGCTTAAGATGGAAGCCAGCATCAATAGGTTTAAATAATACCTTTGTTTTAAAAAGAAGAAGTCTAATTCATAGTCAAACATGTGCTTTGGCTAAGTGGCTTTGTTCTGGGTTTTGCATGACAGCTGGTGATAAATTGGGAAAATGTGTAAGTAGCACTGTGGTAAGGATAATGTTGATGAAGATAGAATGTTTGAGGCCACTTTCAGGGAGAATAAAAACGACATAAAGTAATACTTAAGACTGAATTTTCTTAGAGATGATAATCTCATCACCAAGCCTCATTTTGCCATTGAAAAATTTCTTATGAATTCAACTATCATATTTACATCACAATAGACAGTATTATAACTCTTTAGCATAGGGATTTTGCTTTAACTTACTTTCAACCAATTTATATGTTAAAGCTATTTATATCTCTGCTGTTTCATGAATAAAGCCCAGAGGTATCTTCTTTCTTGACTCACTGTCATATCTTCACATTTCATCACATTTTTGCAGTTCAAATATCATTCACTTAGTAACACTGAAAGCATAGAAAGATTAATCAGAAATGATTTCTGCCCTCAACAAGCTGACACTGGTTAGAGTACAAAAGCCACACTGAAAGAATATATGGAGATCTATGATCTATGATCAATGATCTTTGAAGTTACTATTGTCATTTTTGGGGGCAACATGAGTCATGCCCATATGAAATAACAAACTTAATCAATGTTGTGTGTGTTCTGAGTGCTCTACCAACCGGCCACCCCCACCCCCCCACATCTGTCTCCCTCTCCTTGGACCTTTCTATTCTGAGACAAACCAATATTGAAATGAAGCCAGTTAACAACCCCACAGTGGTCTCTAAGTGTTCAAGTGAAAGGAAGAGTCTCACATGTCTCATCTTAAATGAAAAGCTAGAGATGATTATGTTTAGTGAGGAGGGCATGTCAAAAGCTGAGTTAGGCTGAAATCTAGGCGTCTTGCACCAGACAGTTAGTCAAGGTGTGAATGCAAAGGAAAAATTATTGAAGGAAATTAAAAGTGTTACCCCCATGCACACATGAATGAAAAGAAAGCAAAGCAGTCTTACTGCTGATATGGATAAAATTTAAATGGTCTAGACAGATCAAACCAGCCACAATATTCCCTTAACCAAGAGCTAATCCAGAGGAAGATCCCAACTCTCTTCAATTCTACGAAGGCTGAGAGGTAAGGAAGCTGCAGAAGAAAAGTTGGAAGCTAGCAGAAGTTGGTTTATGAAGTTTAAGGAAAGAAGCCACCTCCAAACATAAAAGTGCAAGGTGAGGCAGCAAGTGCAGTTGGAGAAGCTGCAGCAAGTTATCCAGAAGTTCTAGCTAAGATCATTGATAAAAGTGGTTATACTAAATGACAGATTTTTTATGTAGATGAAATAGCCTTCTATTTGAAGAAGATGCCATCTAGGATTTTCATAGCTAGAAAGGAGAAGTCAATGCCTGGCTTCAAAGCTTCAAAGGACAGGGTGATTCTTTTGCTAGAGTCTAATGCAGCTGGTGACTTTAAGTTGAAGCAATGCTCATTTACCATTCTGAAAATCCTAGGGCCCTTAAGAATTATGCTAAATAGACTTAGCCTTTGCTCTATAAAAGTAACAATAAAGCCTGGATGAGAGCACATCTGTTTACAGCATGATTTACTGAATATTTTAAGCCCGGGGTTGAGACCTTGTGCTCAGAAAAATATATTTTTTTTTTCAAAAATATTACTGCTCATTAATAATGTAGCTGGTCATCCAAGAGCTCATTTGGAGATGTACAAGGAGACTCATGTTGTTTTCATACCTGCTAATATAACATCCATTCTGTAGCCCATGGGTCAAAGAGTAAGTTCAACATTTATGTCTCATTATTTAAGAAATACATTTAGTAAGGTTATAGCTGCTGTAAATAATAAATCTTCTGATGGATATGAGCAAAGGAAATTGAAAGCCTTCTGTAAGGAATTCACCATTCTAGATGCCATTAATAACATTCATGATTCATCGGAGGAGGTCAAAATATCACATTTAACAGGAGTTTAGAAGAAGCTGATTTCAACCCTCATGGATGACTTTAAGGAGCTCAAGTTGTCACTGGAAGAAGTCACTGGAGATATGGTGACAATAGCAAGAGAATTAAAATGAGAAGTGGAGCCTGAAGATGTTGCTGAATTCCTAAAATCTCATAATAAAGCGTGAATGGATGAGGAATTGCATCTGATGGATGAGCAAAGAAAGTGCTTTCTTGAGATAAAATTTACTTCTGGTGAAGATGCTGAGAACATTGTTGAGATGACAACAAAGGATTTAGAATATTACACATACTTAGCTGATAAAGTAGTGGCAGAATTTGAGAAGACTGACTCCAATTTTGAAAGAAGTTCTACTGTGAGTAAAGTGCTATCAAACAGCAGCACATGCTACAAAGAAATGTTTTGTGAAAGAAAGAGTCAATTGATGCAGCAAAATTCATTGTTGTCTTATTTTACAAAGTTGTCACAGTCACTCCCACCTTCAGCAACCCCACCCTGATCAATCAGCAGCCATCCACATTGAGGCAAGAGCCTCCACTAGCAAAAAGATTACAACTCACTAAAGGCTCAGATGATTGCTAGCTTTTTTAGCAATAAATTATGTTTTTGTTAAGGTATGTACATTTTTTAACATAATGCTTTGCACACTTAGGCTACAAAATAATGTAAATATAACTTTTATATACACTGGGAAACCGAATAATTCATGTGACTCACTTTATTTTGGTGATCTGGAACTGAACCTGCAGTATCTCCAAGGTATACCTGTACATATTCATTCAACTTTTACCCTCTAACCCGCTTACTTCTGTCCCTGTGGCTATTGCTCCAACATCATGATAAAAACAAAACATCACATAGAAGTATGGCAATTGTACTAAACGTATTGTACCATTGGCATTTGGTGTCTGTCGTACCATCACAATTGAGCCTCATCCTTCTTTGTTAACGCTTAATTCAGAGAAAATTTTCATTGAGATTTTATAAATGAGTAATATGGCTCTGATTATTGCCCTGTCTGACTGCTTTTATCTCTATACAATATTGTGAGAGTTGCTAAAGAGACTTCTGATGCTGCCATATATGTAATTGGATATTTTTAAATTCCATACAGTCATCTAACTGACCTCTCACCCACTCACCAAAAATTACAACTCACTCCATTTGCATAAAGTAAACTGTGGAAATATATATATTTTACCTTTTTCAATCTAAATTATTGCTCATGGAGAGTCTATTTCACCACAAACAATGCTATATCCTTACCTTAATGGAGTATTACAATGTAATTAGCCATGGAAATGGAAAAAATGAAAGAAACTGTTATGAACACATCTTCCCTTTTAAGCCAACTTGTCAGATTTTGATAGAAGAAAAACTTTCAAAGTCTTCTTACGTGAGTCAGGTCCCATTTTCTTATATTTGCATTCTGCTAGATTTACATCTGTCTATGACGATGATAGTAAAGGTGATAATGATGATAAAGGTTATGCTTATGATAATTCCTCATAATGGGTAACTGTAATATCAGATAATACACGATAAGATCTTTAAAAGAAAGATGACAAGTGAATCTCATAGGAGTTCAGAGCATGGTGAGGATGGCCCTGATTTTTCATTTCTGTCTCTCTAGTGCATTTTCATACACACTCATCATGGGGGAGGAGGGCACTCAACTCAATTCAGTTTATGGGATTTCATCCCAGATTTCTAAATACATTATACTTATGACTCTGTTCATTATCCCACCCCTCCCTTCTCTGATTATGGATGTAGTGATGCTGATTATTTTTATATTCTTCACTATGAAATAACTATCATTCTTCATCCATTTGGGCTTCTATAAAAAAAAATAAATAATAAACTGGGTGGCGTAAACTAAAAAAATAATAAACTGGGTGGCGTAGAAACAACAGAGATTCATTGCTCAAAGTTCTGGAGGCTGGGAAGTCCAAGATCAAGATGAAGGCACACTCTGTGCCTGATGACAGACCGTTTCCTAGCTACTAGATGGTACCTTGTTGCTGTGTCCTTATATGATGAAGAGGCGAGCTGGCTCTCTAGGGTCTCTTTTATAAGGGTACTAATCCCAAACAAGAAGGCTCTGTACTCATAACCTAATCACAACCTAAAGACCTCACCCCCTAATACCAACCTCTTGGGGATTAGCTTTCAACATTTAAATTTTGGAGGAACACAAATATTCATACTATAGCAACATTGCAAGCAAAATTAGAATAATGTATTAGTACTGTTGTGTGGGATATAACATGAGCATGTTAAGAAGAGAATCACTGGATTTTGGAATGTGGTAAGGCCAATTATCTAATTCTCAGGGGAAAATACTCAGTAAGACTGAGGAAGTAGGCCAGGCAAGGTGACTCATGCCTGTAACCCCAGCACTTTGGGAGGCTGAGGCAGGTGGATCATTTGAGGTCAGGAGTTCGAGACCAGCTTGGCCAACATGGTGAAACCCTGTCTCTACTAAGAAATACAAACAAACAAAAAAAAAATTTTGCTGGGCATGGTGGCACACTTTAGGGTGGCTGAGGCTGGAGAATCACTCGAACCTGGGAGGTGGGGGTTGCAGTGAGCGGAAATGGTGTCACTGCACTTCACCCTGGGTGACAGAGCAAGACTCTGTCTCGAAAAAAAAAAAAAATACACTGAGTAATTAAATGTGTAAACATCATTTTAAAAAAACTTTTAAAACTAGTTTTTAAACTTTTAATACTTTAAAATTTTAAATCATCTAATCGAACATGTATATAAAGATCAAAACAAATTAATTGTTTCAGTAGAACAGTGGTGCCTAGAGAACTTTATTTCTCTGGACCCAATTATTCTTAACTCATCAAATCATATATATATCTGTTTATTCATACGCCACTCCATATATACCTAAGATAGATACATAGATTGAATCATATGAATTTGCTGATATTGGTCCATTTTGACCAAAAAATGATAAGTTTTTAGGATTCAAACTAATAGCTCTATTACTGTATTGATTAAGTGGAGTGATAAGGTACCAGTGCAATATGTTATCACTCCACTTAATCAGCACAGTAAGCCCAAGAAACATAAAACATAAAGAATATTTTAGAAAATGATGATGATGATTTCATTTTATCAAAGCTATATGCTCCTTTACTGAAATCAGACAAGGGAAAATGTTCCCTTCTGTAGAAACTTTATTAATCCCTTATGATCTTAATACTGTTAATAATGGACTAGACTGTAAAGGATTAGGTAACTGAGGTGTTCAATATGGATACTTGTTTTATGTTTAATCAAATTTATCTGACTCTAAATAAATTTGGCTGAAACTAGACAGATTCCTTTTCTATTGAGACAGTGGGCTCTATTAAGCACTATGTCTGCATAGGAAACATTACAATTAATTTTGCAGTGACAATATGCTTTTTAACTAACAGACTAATGGAAGGAGGACTGATGTAAAGCATAATTCTCAAAAAGAGGGGGGTAAAACCTTGGTTTCTACTACAATTATTCATTTTATAGTATTGTTTGATAAC
The DNA here is from genome assembly GCF_000001405.40 of Homo sapiens. Taxonomy (NCBI): domain Eukaryota; kingdom Metazoa; phylum Chordata; class Mammalia; order Primates; family Hominidae; genus Homo; species Homo sapiens. The sequence goes on along the minus strand of NC_000023.11, from coordinate 33,317,573 downwards.
ACATACTTTATTAAATTGTAGATGCATTGTAAGTTTTTATAGTATATGGGAATCTAAATAAAAGGAGTTATTTGGTTGTTATGCCATATTTAGCATAAATATTACCATCCATGTATGTTGTTGACTTAAAACACTGTTATTTTCTAAAATGTAAGCATAGAAAAAGAATAAAATTCTTAGTTGATATTGCAGAAATATATTGTAGTGTTTGCAGCATGAAAAGGTTTTATATATAATAATATACACTTAATAATTAATTTCCAAAGGCTGCCTGTGGTCAGCCTTCTTTGAAAGCATGGATTCTGGCAAATGAGCAATATAATCTCTTTAAGACCATTTAAGCTCTTAATCTCTTCAAACCAGTACCAAAGTCTGTTCATTTTGTTGTAATAGTTATTGTGTATTGTTTCTTTTTAATTGTGTAAGTGAGATTCAACATCACTTGTCAGATAAGAAAAAAAACCTTCAAAATAAACGTTAATTTTTCCCATTATTGCTAGAAGGAACTTGGCGTTTGAAATTTTAGATATTCTTAAAATTTCTTTTTAAAAATTTAGAATTAAAAACACAAAAAGAAAAAAGAAAAAAATAGCATTTACTATTATTCCCCAAAAATGAAATAGTAAGATATTAACAATATATATATGAGATATATATCCTGAAAATTACAAAATGCTGATAAAAGAAATCAAGACCTAAATAATTTCAGGGATATATTGCATTCATGGATTGGAAGACTCAGCATAGTAAAGATGTCAATTCTTCCCAAATCGATCTATAGATTTCATGACTGAAAACGATTAATGTGGGAGGAATTGCTCTACTCAACATGAAGACCTTAGTATATAGCTACAGTAATGAAGACAATGTGATATTGGTGGTGAGACAGAAACATGGAGCAATGTAATAAAATACAGAACCCAGAAATAGAAGGAAATTATTATGCCAAACTGATTCTTTGCAAAGGTGTAAAAGCAATTCAATGAAGGAAACTATCATTTTCAACAAATGATGCTAGGGTATTTGGATACACATAGGCAGAGAAATAAACTTGACCTGAACACCTCATACTTTATTCAAACATTAACTCAAAATAGATCATGGATACTAATATAAAACCTAACGCTTATAGATTTTTCATATATGTATGTGTGTGTGTATGTATACCTGGATTATTTCCATCTATGGGTATATATGATTTATTCCTGCCTTTCCTTTAAACCCAATATAATTGAGAATTAGTGCAGGGGTTTTTCATCTTTCCTAGTTCAATTTTACATTAATAATCTTTATCCCTTTAAAGATATTGATATTGAATTGTTGGAGTTTGGTTTTCAGAACAGATGTTTTACAGTCTCTGGTAGCTAATTGAGTTTTCCCATTCCCTTGATTACTTCTTGTACTCTTAGATGAAAGTTGAGTATGTTTTTCAGTGTTTATTGCTAGGAAATAGTTGATTACAGAGTCATTTACTAGATAACAAACATGGAAAGTAATATGACAGGTTTTTGCTTTTAATTGTGCTTTTAATTTTTATTCTACATATAGGAAAGGGTAGTTTTCAAGAGGTATATTGCAAAACATTTGATAAAAATCTCTTAAGAAAACTGAATCTTGACTCAATAAAGGAACATATGTTTCCAAGCTTTTTTGACAATATTAAAAAAAAAACTAGTCCTCTGGTCAAATAAATTGAAGAAGTTTCTACACAAGAGTCATGTATTTTATGTACTGTTGTAGGCATAGTAATGATCCCCCAAAGACATACATGTTCTAATCTTAGGAAGCTATGAATATGTTGCCTTATATGGCGAAATTTAGGAGTCCTCAAGTCTACTCTCAGGTTCAATTATTCCTTAGGAGGACTCATATAATTCTTAAAAGCAGTTACACTCATGATTACAGTTTATTACAACAAAAAGATAAAGACTGAAGTGAACAAAGAAAAAAGTTGCATACAACCGGGTTCAGGAAAGACCAGGTGCCACCTTCCAGTTTTCCTCTCCTCATGAAGTCATCTGGACAGCATTTAATTATCCCAACAGTGATGTGTGACAACACACACATCGTATTGCCAACGAAAAGTTGCCTAAGTCTTGGTGTCTAGAATTGTATTGGAGTTTGTAGTAGGCATGGAACACTCACATGGCTGACTTTAGTCATCTCCAGCCTCTCCAGAGTTCAAACTGATACAGTGTAACCTAAAAGCTGCACCATACATTATTAAAATAAACTATCTGGTATTGCCCAGAAGCCAGTCAAGAGCCAGATATTTCTTTGGAATGTACAGAGTTTGAACAACCCAGTCCCGTTAAGTTAATATTTTACCATAAAAAGGCAAAGTTTACTTTGCAGATTTGATTAAATTAGGGACTTTGAGATGGTAAGATTATCCTGGATTATGTGGATGGAACCAATTAAAAATAAGCACAAACACACAAAGATCCTTCAAGGTGGCTAGGTGCGGTGGCTCATGCCTGTAATCCCAGCACTTTGGGAGGCTGAGGCGGGTGGATCACCTGAGGTCAGGAGTTCAAGACCAGCTTGGCCAACATGGTGAAACCCCTTCTCTACTACAAAATACAAAATTAGCCAGGCATGGTGGTGCATGCCTGTAATCCCAGCTACTTGGGAGGCTGAGGCAGGAGAATTGCTTGAACCCAGGAGGCGGAAGTTGTAGTGAGCCAAGATCACGCCATTGCACTCCAGCCTGGGCAACAAGAGTGAAACTCCGTATCAAAAAAAAGGAAGAAAAAAATCCTTCAAGGAGTCAAAGGAGATGTTGGAATGAAAAGCAGTGTGTCAGAGTAATGTGATGTAGACTGGAAGATGCTATACTGCTTGCTTTGAAAATGGAGGAAAGGGGCCATGAATCAAGGAATGTAGGCAGCCTCTAGAAGCTAGGAAATGGATTCTCCCCTAGAGTCTCCAGAATGAACAGCGCCCCATTGACACCTTGGTTTTAGTCCAGAACTCTAAGAAAGATAAAAAAAAAAAAAAAAACAAAAAAAAAACAGGCTGGGCACAGTGGATCACGCATGTAATCCCAACACTTTGCGAGGCCAAGGTGGACGGATCACATGAGGTCAGGAGTTTGAGACCTGCCTGGCCAAAATGGTAAAAGCCCATCTCTACTAAAAATACAAAAATTTGCTTGGGGTGGTGATGCACGCCTGTAGTCCCAGCGACTTGGGAAGCTGAGGCATCAGAATTGCTTGGGCCTGGGAGATAGAGGTTGCAGTGAGCCGAGATCGTGCCACCACACTCCAGCCTGGGCGACAGAGTGACTGAGACTCTGTCTCAAAAAAATAAAAGATAAAAAATATATGTACATTTAAATCACTAAGTTCATGGTAATTTATTATATGAGCAATAGGAAACTAGTAGAGTTTAATATAATTATTATGTCTATGTTTGTGTAGATATATACATAAATGGGGGTTGTGTGTGTGTGTGTGTGCGTGTGTAATGTCAAAGCAAACTTTCCAAATGCTTACTTCTTGTACATCTTAACCTCAAGGCACACAAACACACACTCAGTTGCATAAATGCACATTCTCACATTACACACACACACACACACATATATATGACATACTACATTCTGTTCTAGCTTCCTTTAATGACAGCTCACAAATATGTGAGTAGAATACACTGGGTTTGACTTGGGATTATGAAATTCATGGTAAACATCATCAAGGCAGATGGATATCTAGGTGTTTGATTATATTGATGAACAGGTTTTGGTATACAAAGTGACACTTGTTATTAAAATTTTGATTTCATACCTATTTCAAACTAAATTGCACCTACAGTCCCTTTGCAAGCTCCACTTTTTAGAAATTCAGCTTTGTATTCACTGCATTTATGACATTCCTTTGCATTTTTTTTTTTTTTACATCCACTTCGCTTAACAAGAAGACACTGAAGTTCTAAGTAGCACTGTATAGGACTGAATTATTAATACAGTTCTTCAGTTGGTAACAAGAATGCTCTTGGAAATATCTTGTACATTTGTCTTCTCCTGGTTACTTAGTAGATTGAGCATGTAAAAAAATCTTTTGCTTAAAATTGCAGTACATCTTAACTGACAATACTTCTTAACCATAGTGCCTGACAAAACCTGGATATTATAATCTCGACGTACAATTTGGTCCAGCAGTTGATCTCTGCTCAGATCATTCAAAAGGGCAATTAGAGAAAGTCAACAATACACATGTCTGTAATTTAGTTTTCTGTACAAACACCATAACCAAATGGGATGAAAGGATTTAACCATTTGCAACTAAAAACAGTATAGTGCTTTATAAAAAGGGCCTAATCAAGCAGTATATTGATTGAAACTTTGTACAGATGGTTCTCATTATTCACACATTCTGTGTTTGGGAGTTCTCAAAACTTGCTAAATTTAATTTGTATCCCTAAAATCAATGCTCATAGCATTTTCACAGCCATTTGTGTGTATGCATAGAGTGGTGAAAAATTTAAGTCACCCACCACACATGTTCCCAGCTGAGATCAAAAAAGGAACACTCTGCATTCTTGCTTCAGGTCTCATACGGTAAACAAGTGTCCTTTCAGCGGTGTATTTAATGCTATGTTTTTCATATTTTTATGCTTTTTCTTGGTGATTTTGCTGCTTTAAATGGCCCCAAGCATGATGGTGAATTTCTGTCTAGTGTTCCTAAGCTTAAGAAGGCTGTGAAGTACCTTAGAAAGAAAATAGGTTCCTTAGGTAAGTTTCCTTCAGGCTTGAGTTACAGTGCTGTTGGCTGTGTATTGAATGTTAATGGATCAATAATATATATTCAATAAGATGTTTTTAAACAGAAAAACAGGCAAAATGGGATTATACATTGCTGGTTCACAAAAATGTTATGAGCAGAGGCTCCCAGAAATCTATCATTGTATTTCTCCTGGGAGGAATGCTTCAGTATTCACTAATTCAGTGTTCACAGTGACTTTATAGAAACACAGTGAATAACAAGACTTGACTGCACATTGTCATCCTTCATCCAACCCACTTGCATAGTGTAGGGTCTACACTTTCCAACAGTACTAAAAACCCAGAACGACATTCAAGTTATGCAGGTGTATTATTTAGCTGTATTTGGGTTCTAAGACATGAGTAAAGTTATATATTTGTACAGCTCCCAACTATATACAGTTGTCCCTCAGCATGCACGTGGTATTGGTTCCAGTACTCTCATGTATACCAAAATCTGAACATACTCACATTTCACAGCCAACTCTGCAGAACCCGCACACAGGCAAAATTGGCCCTCTATATACGTAGGTTTCACATTCTGCGAATACTGTATTTTTGATCTGAGTCTGGTTGAAAAAAATGGCATGTAAGTGGACCCATGCAGTTCAAACCCGTGTTTTCTCAGGACTCAACTATGTTATTTATCCTTTTACTTTTTTATTCCTTTTTTATTCCTGTGTATAAAAAATTGTACCACCAGTACAAGGAATGTCATGAAATTGAAATGACACCATTCTGTGTTTCTTAAATAAATGTCATACAGGTTCTATGAAGAATAAATTCTCTTGCTAAAAAAAAAAACTTGCTATTTTTCATCATTTGATTTTCTCATATTAACATTTTTCATCTTAAATAGTCTTTCTCTTTACTATTTCCCTTCACATTTCTTGAAAATTCTTTTTCTTGCCCATCTGTTTTGTATCTCCTTATTATTTTCTTTCTGTTTTTATTATGCTAGCCATGGTAATGATAAAATCTCCGACTTCCAACTCCCTGCACCATTTGGCACTTGGCAAATGGCTTTTTTATGTATTTATATTTTTGTTATTTATATGTCTATATCCTAAACAGAACCCTACGCATAAGAGCAGGTGGCCAGTAACTAATGGCATTGATAAAATAGAGCCCTTTACCTCTATTTTCTTGAAATATGCTTTCAAGAAATTCCTTGTACTAGATCATCGTGTATCATAACATTATGAACACAGCAGCAAAAAACAAGAAAAAAATTCAGACTTTAGTATTCGTAAGTAATGTCAATACAATATTTGGTTTAACAGACATACGATCATTTTGTTTGCTATTTCACCATATTATTTTTTATGTAAATAAGGTAGATTATTTCCAAAGTCTTTCTGAATTTACTAAAATCTCATTTTACATGACCCTACTTTAGTACCTTAACTACCACCCTCCTAGGAATATATCTGTGGTAAGAACAGACAGGTGTATATATATTATAGATAAGTGTCTGTCTGTGTGTATGCATACATATGTGTGTATCTATATATTAAAGTATGTATATGCAATATGAAGGTATGTATATATGCATATATATGCATGAATTATATTAAGCATATGTATATATATATTATAGTTAAGTGTGTGTATGTGTGTATGCATACATATGTGTATCTATATATTAAAGTAGGTATATACAGTATGAAGTATGTATGTATATATGCATATATATGCATGAATTATATTAAGTATATGTATATGTGTTAGATATTTATGTATATATGTATATTTATAAAATTATGAAGTTCTACATTGAACTGGGATATAAAGTCCATGATATCTTTACATAACTTAGAACAGCAAAACTCTCGATTCATTCTTGTTTTCAAAATCCCTTTAGCTTCATTTTCTCTGGTGCATGAAACAACATAAAAATCCCTCTTCTTGCCATTAATCTCTTCAAATCCCATGCCAGATATTGTCAACATTACAGCTATAAAAATTTTAGAATGTTTTAGGGACATCTTGAGATCTTTAAATTAAAATATCCACTAAATTAACATCATAAGCCTAGACTCGTAATCTTTATTTTTGATCTGACTTTCTGTGGCTTGCAAATTTAGAATCAGGAAATGAAACAATACTCAATTTTTGCAGAATTAGGGCTTACTTATGATGCAAGGCTAATATGGATAATTTCTTAATTGACTGTATCTGCTAAGACAAAATCAGGAAATGACTTAATTAAAATGAATAATTTAGGTGATATTCTCTATATTGTAATCCAAATTTTAAAGAAGCGAACTTCTCTTAGAAGAAAAATATACATTTAATAATTGGTTCAATGTTATTATAGACCTTTTGTGTTCTTTCAGAACATAATAATGGTTGCTAATTTTCTGGGCAGAATCTCTTGATAAGAGAGTTAAATTGACTCAGATTATCTGCAACCCACTGGACTATTGTGGTAATGGCAGATATTTTTTAAATTTAATTCATTGATATAAAATATTTAGTCTTTTATAATAAGCAATTAAACCTTTGTACTTAAGCCACTTCAACAAAAATATTACAAAACCATTAGGCAGCTACAATAGGCTCCATGCATTTTTAAGTACGGTTTATACAGAATAAATTATTTCTGTATTGGAATATCTTCTTAATAATATTGATGTTTCAAGAAAACATCCAAGCTATTTTATAAGTTATTTGAATGGAGACTGAATTATATAGTAGTTTTTTGTTGTTGTTATTTTAATTCATACACCTTTTCAGTAGAAAAAGGTGCCTTGGTTTTAACTTTGTTACCCCACAAGCACAGATATTAATTTTTATTGCATTCTTCACTAAAGTACATCTTGCATTTGATTTTCAGACATGGATAAGACCATGATAGCTAATGAATGACTAAAATAAATCAATACTCCAAATACTTCTATGCTTCATTTTTGATGGAAGTATGAGTAAGGGATACAAGCTGAAGGCCTCCTATATATAGTACTTCTACATTACTTTTTTTGTTATAATTTTGTAATAATAATATAATCACACCACATACTTGTAATAAAAATATAATATTCATCTAGGCTAATTGGTCAGGTCCTGAAGTAAATATATCTCTTCACAAAAGGCCAATGAGTGACCCACCTACTGGTAGATTTTATGCAAATGGTTGCATCTTGTACACCTTTATTATTTTTTAAGTATATTTGTTTCCTACTTGTAACCTATTCTAAAATAAAAAGTTTACTATCTCTTTGCAGTAAAAATAAATATCACATATCTATATATATAAAGATAGATATGGTATACACCTCAGTATAGATATAAAGCTCTTTATTTATTTATTTGTTCATTTATTTATTTATATTTATGTTTAAATACAGACAGATTTCCAGATTTTAAAATGCATTTCTTCTCACTGAATATTAAGGGACTTAAACCATATACTCAATTTGTCAAAGCTGACTGGGGAATATAAAGAAAGGGCTAGATATGTAATATGTGTTGCTAATATTAACTAGAATCATTATTTTGAAGTACAGATCTTAGTTCAATAACATAGCGCGCTAGAGCAGACCAAAGTTATTAACTTCAATTGATAAAGAATTATGAATATAATTATAATCCTGTTAATTATTTAACACCGTGAATTATGCAAATGCAGCAGGTATTATTAATCATCTGCAGGAACCAGAACAATTTCCCTAAAAGAACATATAAATATTAAAAAGTCTGACTTGGCTCTGTTATGTACTGTTAGAGCTTTAGTGTTCCCATATGAACACTGTTTGGATTCAATTATCCTTTATAACATGAAAAATGCCCCGAATGCATCCTCTCCAAAGGCCAAATGAATGTCATTAGAGTTCTCCTTTTGTCTATAAAATGTTTACTGACTGTGTGGTCTCGCATGTTTGTTTATATCAAAATATCTTTCATCCTATTAGGCTAATACTGGTCTGTGGCGGCTGGCATCCTACTTGCTAATAGCACGTTGTGTGGATATCCTTGCTGTGAGACTAAGCTACATGTGATAGTCTTGCAGTATCTAAAAAAATTCCCAAAATTAACATATGTTGAACCTTCCCTCAATACTAAGGAACAACAGAGCATTCAATGGAGTAATTTTAACTAATTTCCTAAGTATGCTCACCCTTTACAGAAAGGAAAAAAAGAAAAAGAAAAGGAATTCCAAATTGGACCTTTGGAAAACACTCAATTGGGGAGAGGAATTGGTAAGGGGCTTGAAGATCTAGTTTGGTTAACAGATTGTTGTAAATTTTCCTGAAGGAAATATTAGCCCTTTCCTTTAAAGAGTTATTTGTGGAAACCTTTAAAAAGGATTTTCAAAATAAAGACTGTTTGCCTCAATATATTGGAGTTTAATTCCTATCCATTTTTACTTTATTTAAAGTTAGACGATTAATTGATTCTCAGAAAAATTATTTGTTTTAAAAGGAAGAATTATTTATTTCGAAATCTCAAAATATTTCCAAATACCACTGTGATTCTTGGAATGCAATCTTTCTTGGGAAAATGCCAAAGTTGGGCAAAGACTGGGGTAGGAGTTAGGAGAGCAGGCAAGGACATGTAGGAAGGAAGGCAAACTAGGGAACTATTGTGTTTTTGAATCTTTTAAACTCTTAGCCTTTAGAACAATGTCTGGCATAGAGACTTCCAAAAAGAATGGTTCAATTCAATGTCATAAGTAGCTTGTCATTTATGGCACATTCACAATAAATGACAGTATAAATCAACTGCGCATTGGTAGACATACCAGAGTCATGACTATTTCAACATTCATTTTATCCATGTGTTTCCAAGTATGATAATAGCTGAACATTACGTGGTACTCAATGAAATTTAGATTTATGTTTATGCCTCACATCTTAGCAATTATATTTGAAAAACTGGTGTCTGTACAGAATGTTACAGTTTAAAAAGGATTTTGGATGAGTAACTTTTGAAGGAGGTAGGATTTGGGGACTCTAAAATATTTTTCTTCTTATTTTTATTGAATTTCTGCCTGTGACTGCTTTCTACCCTAACAATAGAGGCGCTGCTTACTGTGCTGCCTGCTGTATCTCACTGGAACCATTAGTACTTACAATGGGCCTTTCTGATCTTTATTTCTATATATTTATATTTTTTCTGAGATGGAGTCTCGCTCTGTCACCCAGGCCGGAGTGCAGTGGCGCATGGCTCACTGTAACTTCTGCCTCCCGGGTTCAAGTGATTCTCCTGCCTCAGCCTCCCAAGTAGCTGGGACTACAGGCGTATGCCACGACACCCAGCTAATTTTTTGTATTTTTAGTAGAGACGGGGTTTCACTGTGTTAGCCAGGATGGTCTCGAACTCCTGACCTCAGGTGATCCGCCCGCCTTGGCCTCCCAAAGTTCTGGGATTACAGGCGTGAGCCACCGTGCCCAGCCTCTGATCTTTTACTCTTTCTAAGGATGACTCGTGAGTGAAATGTCAAACTCTTTTATTTATTTATTTATTTTTACAAAATTAAAAAAGATATAATCTGGGAAAAATATAACATCTGAATTTTTATTATATGTAAGTCTATTAGGTGGAAGGTAGAAATAGGGCCAGCCAGTAGAAATTGAATTCTTTGCATGAAGGAGAGCAAATTTAGGTGTAATATAAGAAAGAACTTTCTAATAGCTAAATCTGTCTCGAGTTGCAATGATCATGCATTCTTCTCTCCTCTTTTATTTTTGGCCACTGCTGGATTTCAGGGATCATCATCTGGACTCTCTCTGCTCCAATACATACTTGGAATCTATTTAATCAATGTTGTTATTAAAAGGATATAATTTTACATACTTTAAAAGAATTTTGTCCAATACTCCTCAAAACAATCCAATGAGCTAAATATTAATATCCTCATTTTGCAGATAAGTAAACTGAGGCATAGAGCATGTATTAGTCAGGGTGGGGATAAACAACTTGTCCAAAGTCACCAACTATTTGAGAGCACATTGAAACTTAGGCAGGGTAGCGCCATAGTATCTTGTTGTAATATCTACTCTATGCTGCATCTGTCCTCAGTATTACAGAGACAGAGTCTGGGTCCCCATGGCTTTGTACTAATTGAGACTTTGGATTGTTTGCCCCAATTTTCTTCTCCAGACTCACTTTCCAACATGACATTTATATTGCTGTGATGTAGCCACATAGAATCTCTCACCTCTCACCCAAACATGCCAGGAGTTTTCAAGCCTCTGTGCCATTTGCCTTTCCCCTCCATGTCCCCCACACCCATCACAGCCCTACTTCTACCATTCTATCAGTGGAAATCTCCTACTTATTTCCTCAATTAAATGTTGTTCCCTCTATACATTTAGCAAATACCAGGCCCATTTAGGTACTCCTTCCTCATTTTAGCCAAAGCTTCAGATTTTCAGCTCTACTATGACCATACGTTATATTAAATCATGTATATTTCTGTTCCTTGTTATAAACTGGAAACTGCAAGATCAGGAACCACATCTTCTTCATTTGTGTACCTTTAGACTTCAATAAGTAAATGCATTAAAAATTTGTCTAAATGAATGATGCACATGTAACATAAAGCAAGAGTTTCTTTTCATAGTAAGTATTCAAGCAGGAGCTAAATTGACCAGCCAGCATCACTGTGGTAAAGAAGACAACTGCATAGGGAGAAAGGTTAAGCTGGATACTTGTCTCTATGGCCTTTTTGTAGCTCTCTCATTGCAATTTCATGTCATGCCTTACAGCTAAAAAGTGCCAGTCAGAAATACCTATCCATTGTGTGTGGCTCAGGCTAGTTGATTATGATCCCCAAGGCCTAGTTCTTAGAAAATGTGTTTGTATTATAGTCCAAAAGGAGCTACTCTCTGTCTCCTTTCCTCACTAAATTCTCTTTTATATTTTTCAAGTTTACAGAAGCTATATTTGGGCACAGACTTCAGTAATTTTTCCTCTGTGCATAAACACTCAACCAGGAAATATTTATCCCTCAGAGACACTGACAAAAGATGTGTTCTTAAGTTATTGCTAAGAACTAATCCTTTTCACCATGGGAGGAAAACGTAATGCTCTATAATGTGACTTATGAGACTGAAGGTTTTTTATAACATAGAATGAAATGATAAGAGAATACTCTTGAATATATGTTTGTAGTTAATTACAGAAGTGTGCAAACAAACTTCTGACATTAGTTTGTTTTGTCTCCTAAATTAGGTATAGATTTCTTTTTTTTTTTTTTGAAGTTATATTTGGCATTTTTTTTAAATTTTATTATTATTATACTCTAAGTTTTAGGGTACATGTGCACAATGTGCAGGTTAGTTACGTATGTATACATGTGCCATGCTGGTGTGCTGCACCCATTAACTCGTCATTTAGCATTAGGTATATCTCCTAATGCTATCCCTCCCCCCTCCCCCCACCCCACAACAGTCCCCGGAGTGTGATGTTCCCCTTCCTGCGTCCATGTGTTCTCATTGTTCAGTTCCCACCTATGAGTGAGAACATGCGGTGTTTGGTTTTTTGTCCTTGCAATGGTTTGCTGAGAATGATGATTTCCAATTTCATCCATGTCCCTACAAAGGACATGAACTCATCATTTTTTATGGCTGCATAGTATTCCATGGTGTATATGTGCCACATTTTCTTAATCCAGTCTATCATTGTTGGACATTTGGGTTGGTTCCAAGTCTTTGCTATTGTGAATAGTGCCGCAATGAACATACGTGTGCATGTGTCTTTATAGCAGCATGATTTATAGTCCTTTGGGTATATACCCAGTAATGGGATGGCTGTGTCAAATGGTATTTCTAGTTCTAGATCCCTGAGGAATCGCCACACTGACTTCCACAATGGTTGAACTAGTTTACAGTCCCGCCAACAGTGTAAAAGTGTTCCTATTTCTCCACATCCTCTCCAGCACCTGTTGTTTCCTGACTTTTTAATGATCGCCATTCTAACTGGTGTGAGATGGTATCTCATTGTGGTTTTGATTTGCATTTCTCTGATGGCCAGTGATGATGAGCATTTTTTCATGTGTCTTTTGGCTGCATAAATGTCTTCTTTTGAGAAGTGTCTGTTCATGTCCTTCGCCCACTTTTTGATGGGGTTGTTTGTTTTTTTCTTGTAAATTTGTTTGAGTTCATTGTAGATTCTGGATATTAGCCCTTTGTCAGATGAGTAGGTTGCGAAAATTTTCTCCCATTTTGTAGGTTGCCTGTTCACTCTGATGGTAGTTTCTTTTGCTGTGCAGAAGCTCTTTAGTTTGATGAGATCCCATTTGTCAATTTTGGCTTTTGTTGCCATTGCTTTTGGTGTTTTAGACATGAAGTCCTTGCCTATGCCTATGTCCTGAATGGTAATGCCTAGGTTTTCTTCTAGGGTTTTTATGGTTTTAGGTCTAACGTTTAAGTCTTTAATCCATCTTGAATTAATTTTTGTATAAGGTGTGAGGAAGGGATCCAGTTTCAGCTTTCTCCATATGGCTAGCCAGTTTTCCCAGCACCATTTATTAAATAGGGAATCCTTTCCCCATTGCTTGTTTTTCTCAGGTTTGTCAAAGATCAGATAGTTGTAGATATGCAGCATTATTTCTGAGGGCTCTGTTCTGTTCCATTGATCTGTATCTCTGTTTTGGTACCAGTACCATGCTGTTTTGGTTACTGTAGCCTTGTAGTATAGTTTAGATTTCTAATTGTTGGAGAGAGAATCTGTTTACATATTGGTGACCGTTACAAGCAAATCTAAAATATAACATCATTTTACATCATATATTAAATTATATTAAAATTCATTAATAAATTTGAAAGGAATTAATTCATATTTATAATAAATAACTTCAGAAGATTCACTGATTTAATGGAAAAATTTGTTGATAAAATTATATTAAGAGAGGAAACAAAAGACATTAAATAAATTTGAAATGATAAATATTCAGACATTTAAAAAATTAAGTGTATTAGTTCATTCTCACACTGCTATAAAGAAATACCCAATAATGCATAATTCATAAAGGAAAGAGGTTTAATTGACTCACAGTTCAGCCTGGCTGGGGAGGCCTCAGGAAACTTACAATCATGGCAGAAGGGGAAGCAAACACATCCTCATCACATGGCGGCAGCAAGGAGAAGAATGAGAGCCAAGCAAAGGGGGAAGTCCCTTATAAAACCATCAGATCTCATGAGAACTTACTTGCTATCACAAGAATAGCATGGGGAAACCACCCCCATGATTCAGTTATCTCCCACTGGGTCTCTCCCACCACACAGGGGGATTATGGGAACTACAAGATGAAATTTGGGTGGGGACACAGACAAACCATATCAGTAAGTATCTACATAATCCATTTGTAATTCTTCCCATCCCATATTCCTATTACCCAGGATTTGTGTAATCTAGGAGACATAAAACTTCTGAATTTGTATTATATGTAAGTCTCTTCGGTGGAAAGAAGAATGTTGGCTTTATTTTATCATTTTAATCTTAGAAGATTTTAAAACCATAATTCTTAACTGAAACTAAGCTTATTTTGGCTTGTTATATATACCACATAACTTAAAATTTTAAAATGTAAAATACCAAAGGAGTTGAAAATTATGTCCACACAAAACCCTGCACATGGATGTTTATGACAGCTTTATTCATCATTGCCAAAATTTGGAAGCAACCAAGATGTCCTTCAGTAGGTGAATGGATAAATAAGATGTAGAACATTCAGACAATAAGATGTTATTCATTGCTAAAAAGAAATGAGCTACTGAGCCATGAAAAACACATAGAGGAAACCAGTGAACAAGCAAATCTGAAAAAATCTACATACTATATGATTTCAACAATACGACATTCTGGGAAAGCAAAAACTATGTAGACAGTTAAAAGATCAGTGTTTTCCAGGGGCTGTGAGGGAAATGTATGAATACGTAGAGTCCAGAGGAATTTTAGGACAGGGAAATTCTCTGTAATGATGCTATAATTGTGAATACATTTCATTATATATTTGTCCAAATCCATAGAATGCACAACACCCAAGAATGAACCTTTACTCTTAACTATGGAATTTTGGTGATAATGATTTGTCAATATAGGTTCATCAATTGTAACAAATGTACCCGTCTGGTGGGAGATGTAGATAGCGTGGGTGGCTGTACGTGTGTGGAGGCAGGGGATATATGAGAAATCTCTGTACCTTCCTCTCAATTTTGCTGTGACGCTAATACTACTCTAGAAAAATTAAGTTCTTTAAAAAATGTGCAACACTACTAATACCACTATAGAAAAATGGAAAGAGTAAAGAGAACAAATAGCTTACCGCAAAAGAAATATAAATGCCCAAGAAATATGAAGATATGCTCACGGAATTAGTAGAATAACTAAATCAGTAGTTTTTAATTTTAAATTTATTTTTATGTAAATTTTACCTATCAACCTAGAAATGGTGAATACAGTAGAAGAGTCAGTGAAGTGGGCATGCCCTTTCTTGTTGGTGAGGTTATAAATCAGTCTAATGGTTTTTGAAAGCATTTTGGCAATATGCATAAAGAGTGTATTTGACCCTATGACCCAGCAATTTGTCTTCTGAGACTCTTCCCTAAAGACATGATTAAATAGTATGGACAAGGTTATTCTTTGCTATGTTACTTTTAAGAAAAGTGGAAATGACCAGCAACCTAAGTAGCTGAAAAATAAGGGTCAGATAAACAAATCTTGGCATATCTGTTGCAACGGAACATTAAGCACTTATTAAAATTATGTTTTCAAGAATATTTAGTAAGATGAATAAAAATTGATCACATTATAAAAATATATAGCCAATATGTTTAATACTATGAAATATGTGTGTAGAAAAATGAATATTAAAATAAAATTTTTCAAAATATTAAAACTTAATATCTTACATGATGAAATGTGTCATGTATGTATTTTATCTTACAAACTGCTATGATCTGAATGTGTCCTACATAATTCATATGTTGAAACTTAATTGCCAATATGATAGTACTAAAAGGTGGAGGACATTAGGAGGTGATTAAATCATGAGGGCAGAGCCCTAATGAATGGGATTAATGACCTTATAAAAAGGCTGGTGAGAACCGAGAACTAACTAGGCTCTTATATTTTTCCATCACTTCCACTATGGGAGGACACAGCATCCCTTCTCTCTGGAGGATGCAACGTTCAAGGCATCATCTTCGAAGCAGAGACTGGGTCCTCACCAGACACCTCACCAGCCTACAGAACTGCGAACAATTAATTTCTGTTGTTTATAAATTACCTGTCTCAGATATTTTGTTATAATGGCGCCAGTGGACTAAGACACAAATATTTTCTTACAACAAAGGGAAAAAACTTACTGCATAATTTTGTAAAATCGAATTGGAATGAGATACACTGTGTTCACAATTTTAAAAAGTTTCACAAGGGCATAAGATCATTATGCTTGGCATGTCTTCCTTAAAAAAAAATATACCATGAAGTATAATTTCTAAGCATTATGTAGAGAGCCACCTATTTCTGTCTGTTTGGAGTGGGCAGGGTATCCACACACTATTTTGAAGAGGTGCTTGCAAAATTGAGATGGAAAAATGTGTACGTACAGTTCCTAAGGCCTTACCTGGAGAGTGAATTGCCCTGGTTTTTACAGGTAATACCACTTGGAAGGAAACTCATGCTTCTCCCTAAATCAGACAATGCCTGGCCTTGAGTGGTGTCAGGGTCCTGGTGATAATGGTTATTTTAACCTCCTGCTTTTCTACTTCTAGCATATTCTGCCTTTGGCTTCATGCAAAATACTGAAGGACAGCGAGTGCATGGATACTGCTTTATCGAACCTTGTTAATTGGTCTCTTTGCTATAAGAAATACATTGTCCCTGAAGCCACAATACTAACGCGACTGGTTCTACATCTTAAAAAATCTTTGATATTTTACACTGTGTCTGTTACATGGCTATTATGTTTAAACTCCCTTGATTAGATTATAGAAGTTTACATTGGGGAAGAGTATGTAAAAGAGACAGCAATTACTGCCAAAATCTTCCCCAAATCAGTGTCTTAGTCCTTTTAGACTGGTGTAACAAAAATACCATAAACAGGGTGGCTTATAAAGAACAGAAATTTATTTCTCCCAGTTATGGAGGCGGGGAAGTTCAAGGTCAAGGTGCAGGCACGCTCACTGAGCTTCCAAGGCCTCTTGGGCCTCTCTTATAAGGGCATTAATCCCATTCATGAAGGTAGAGCCCTCATGACCCAATAAATTCCCAAAGGCACTACCTTATAATATAGTCATCTTGGTGATTAGAATTCAACATATGAAGTTTGAGAAGACACAAACAATCACAGTATGGCATCCAAACATTACAAAGAGTTATAGTTTGTCTCCACAGTTAGCTTAGTATTAAATTTTCCTCATCAGCAAGATAGGAAAAGGTTAGTTGAGGATGAACCAGAAGTTTTCACCTGATCATATTGACATGGGTGCCTGATAATCTCATGCCTTTATGGGAATTATATGTTCTTCATTAAAAACAAAGAATTCTGGCCTTTGCCAATGATGGCTTTAAACTAGTACAAGCATTCTGGGTGTGGCTGTGGTATTTGATCAAAGCTAATATTTGCTAATTTGCATGTTCAATGCAACAATCATAAAATACTGGATAGTTTCAGGTCTAGTTTATGCACCACAAAAAAGCAATGATAAAACTCATTCATCTTCACTTTAAAGTCGTTGTGAAGTGGCTGTTTCCACTGGGAATATATAGGTAGCATGTAAAACAGTTGTCTTTTCTGGTAAAGGGGTTTCTTGCTAAGGCGTGACCACAACCAAGTGATTCTTTCTCTTTTGATTAGTATTCATTGTCTCTTCTGAGCTGTCTCTAGTGGATACAGTTTAGAAATTTAACATAAAGAAAGAAAGAGCTCTCACACTGTAGGATTTGCAGCATGCTATTTAAGTGCAACTGCTACCACAGTTAAAGGATCATCGGAAACATCAAGGTGAATGGGAAAGTGGAGAGAGTCAAAATTCAAGAAGAGACTTTTATATTATTAAAATTTATTCAAACTGTAATTGTAAAAATGGCATGGAGGAAAAGTTAAAGTCGAAAATATCAGCAGTATGTAAAAAAGGACAATGTAAAACATCTACCAATTGTCAGAATGGCTAGAAAAACATATTCCATTATTCAGCCAAATATTCTTGCCTTTACCTCTCCCTGTTCTTTACCTGTCCACCCCTAGACTGTATCTTTCTTGCATATTTCATTTTAAGATTCTTGCACATAATTTAGAGAACTGAAGCAACTACCTAGCCCATCTTTCCTCACTAGGCCTTCCTTAGAATCTGCACGGAGTCAAGTTTATGGCCCCTTTGAAAAGCTGCAGCTCCTTACCAAAGTTTTTTCAAATAGAAGCTAAGAAGGGAAGGAGTAAAAGACAGCATTTGTATAAACATTAGCTCATGTAATCACTATAACCACCTATTTAAGGTAGATGATATTAATTTCATTTTCCTGAGGAAACTTACTGCCATTCAGATCAAAAGTCTTCTGCAAAGTCCTACAAGTACCAAAAGAAAAAGTCAGGGTTTTTACCTATATCTCTCTAACTCTGATTATGTCATTTTTCTTTTCTCTCATTTTGGTTTTCAACTATAGAGTAACATAATAACCACTTACTCTCAGGAAAAAAAAATTAGAATAAAAATTTGCAGACCTTGCTTATAAAGATTTAATTACATTTAAAATAAATAGAGAAAATATTTGGAAAGTTTATTTTTAATAATGATGAGTTTCATTTAAGTTATGTATTCTCTGTACCTATTATGAAATATATTCTGTGAAGTTGTGGTTATCTGATACAGGTGGAGGTGGTAGACATTAAGACTCTTGATAGCTGTTCCGCTTCTGTCCCCTTTCTGGTACGTGGAATCACTTCCGCACTCACTTGAAGTTGAGTCTGGCTGTGTGACATGCCGGATCAATGAAATGTGCGAAGAAGTGAACTGTGTCACTTTTGGACAGATGTTCTAAGAGCCATTGAATGTTTTACTGTGTTCTGTTTTCTCTCAGACCTATCAACCAACAACACTCAAAAGTTGGCTGCTTTATCTTCCTGAGACCAACAACACTCAAAATGTTGGCTGTTTTATCTTCCTGAGTGATTACAGTATGTAGCCATCCCCTGCTTATTAGGATAGGCACAGAGTATCAGCAAGAAATAAGATACTAAGAGAATAGAATTTGTTATTACTAAAGATTTTCCTAAAGTGTCCGATACGCTCAACATTGACGATTGTTTTGCAGCCAAAACAGCAAACATATTTAAGAAATGTGTTTAAGAATCACATATTGAATCTGTGATTCACATTTGTTGTGATGGTAAAATATTTGTGTAGTTTTCTCCTTTTTTCAGCTTCTATTTTAAATAACATAAATTGTTTGAAATTTTGTTAATGGTTCTTGAAATTAAAGACGTTCAGCAATGATATGGTCTTAATAGAAGGAAATTGTTTTCCATCACTGAAGATTAATTAAATTTTGAGTAAGAATTGAGATATGTGCGGCTAACACAGGGAATTATCTCTGTGTTTCTGGATGAAATGGGATTATTAAAACATGAAGGAACTATTTTCCTCTTACGGTAAGAGAACAGTAACTTAATAGTGAAAATCAGTTGATCATCACATGCTTGTGGCTAAATATCAGTTTGTCCTTTTTGTAGCTGCTGTAATGATATGTTATTGAAATCATTTAGGGATACTTTTTTGTTGTTAATTTTTATGGAGGTATTATTGAGAAATAAAAACATTCTATATATTTAAGATATACAACACGGTATTTTGATATAATTAACATATCCATCACCGGGCATAGTAGTCTCTTTTTTTTGTGATGAGAACACTTATGATCTACTCCCTCAGCAAGTTTCAAGTATAAAGGACATTAATATTAACTACAGTTACCATGCTGTACGTTAGATCTCTATAACTGAAGGTTCCTACTCTCTGACCAACAACTCCCCATTTATACCACTCCTGGCAACCGCTATTCTACTCCCTACTTCTATAAGTTCAACATTTTATATTCCACACATAATATCATGCAACATTTGTCTTTCATTTTTTTCTGCCCTTATTTCACATAGCATATGTCCTCCAAGTTCACCTTGTTGCAAATCGCAAGATTTCCTTCTTTTTATGGCTGAATAATATTTCATTGTATACATACCATAATTTCTTTATTCATCCATACATCCACAAACACAGGTTGTGGCTATATCTTGGCTATTGTGAATAATGCAGCAATAAATGTCAGAGTACAGATATATTTTTGAGATACTAATTTCATGTTCTTCAGGTAAATAATCAACAGTGAAATTGCTAGATCTCATGGTAATTCTATTTTTAATAGTTTGAGAAACCTCCCTACTATTTTTTTTGTAATGGCTGTACCAATTTACATTCCCACAAACAGTGCATGAGGGTTTCCTTTTCTCCAAATCCTCACCAACACGTATTTTTAAAGATACAATGAGACAAACTTTTTATTTAAAATTATAGAACAAGAATGAATATTACCAATTCATCAAAAAAAAAGTCTGTCTACTATCAAAGTCTATTTTTAAACTTTATGTTCTTTTACTTAAATATTTTTGGAAAAAAAGATAATTATGTACACTAATGTGTGTGTGTACATTCACAATTTGGCATATACTATTAATTTGGTTTAAATTTAATTTGGACATAATAATTCTTAAAACTTGTCAGACTGCTTGATAAGTAGGTATTAGTGTATCCCACCTCATCTACAGAGATGAAAACTACAGCGTAAGTTATCTAAAACAGTAAGTGTATTGGATCTCAGGAAGTATCACTTCAGAGGTGTTATTCTTAACAATAACACTATTCAGCAAATGCTGCAAGAATAAAATCATTAAAATAATTTTCTAAACATCAAATAAGCCAAAGTGAATGTAAGCTTTTGTGAATAAGTTTAGATTCAGTTAAATTTCTCAAGGATCAGCTAAATTTTTTAATCAAAAATTTCAACCAGGTACTAAAACTATTTTTTGTGTCTTCCTTTGACATATGGGCTATGTATATGTTATATAAAACCAAATAATGGGATATTTCTGATTATTATACATTTGAAACATATCATTGTGTCTAGCTTCATAACGTAGCTATCATATTTTGGTAAGTTAAATTGTATGTCAAATGGGTGCTCAGTCTGGAAGACTCAAAAACTAGAATTTTTCTTTTTTCTAAAATTTAGTAATAATTGACAAATAAAAGCATCTGGTACCATTATACTTCCTACAGTCTATATTCTCCTATCATGATAAAACTGGAATTCATATTATATTGAAAAACCTCTTATTTTTTTCTTTTTTCTTCTTTAACTACATCCTACAGTGTACCCTAGAAGACATAAATTCAAAAATGTGAATAGTTCTGAGAGGTTTTCTTGGGATTTTACCTTTTATGAAACTGCTATAATTTATAGAATCTGCTTGTGCTCTGTCACCTAAATTTAAAAAGCTGCCTTTTATTATTTATTTTTTAGTTTGCTCCATTCAGACAGTGATGTTTCATGTGGGAGACATCACCACAATGGATTACTTTAACTTGGAATAACCTTGCTTTAATAATTATATGGAATACCTTTCACAAGAGAAAGCATTACTAGGAGAAAAGCCAATAAAGCTATGAAAGACATGGATAAAAGTCAACAGCTGATTGGATATAGAATCTAAATAATGTGATATGATTTAACTTACCTGGATCTCATAGGTAAAATGAAGAAATGATAGTTACATATCAGAATTCATATAGAATATATGTGAGATAATGCAAATAAATATTTTAGTATCATATTTGTCACAAAATAGTTTGTCATCACATATTAGCTCATCCCCCATGGATGTCTCTTGTCATACGGTTGATAGAATTCTGTGTCCATTTGTGTAATTTTAGCTCCCTAAGGATAGCCACTATTTGTCACTCACTGTTTTATCTAGATAGCACAGAAACTGATAGGGAGTAGTCAATAACTCAGTAAATGTTTGGCCAGTGAATGGATTTACAACATCCCTGTGGAAATAATGGTAGATGTGGGTCTGTTTATTGCACACCGCAATTGTCAGGATGTTTATTGCATAACCAGTTGTCACTGGTTAGTCTCTGTGTTTGTTTCTGAATTTGTTTAGAACAAGGCTTTATTTTTACTAAAAATATAACTTGAGTTGCTGACGAATTTTCAGTTTTTACTCATTTACCTTGCTGATATAGCTAGCTGAATTTACATATCTATGTCACTATTTGTATTTATCTTTATCTCCATATATTTATATTATATATACTTATGTCTGTATCTCTCTATATATGTCTCTTTGGGGATGTGTACTGTGTAGGTATATTTTAACCACCAGCTCAGTGAGAAAGAACTCAAGCTATGATTCTTAGTGTTTGCTTATTTCTGTGGTGTAAATACTTCAACCACATCCAGTTTCAAGCTATCAACATGATGTTGCTGAGTGTGGAGCTGGGATGAGATAGGTAGTGGCCAATTATTATATAGCATTTTCACCATACAGATAAAAGGATACAAATAACCTCACAAGTGTAGACGACAGTGAAATGTAGTAAAATAATTAAGAAGTGATGAGTTTTGAACATTTATTACAGTTGCTTTAATATAATTTATTTAATCATAAGTTTATTTAATTTTAACAAGGGCTATGTTTAATAGTATGCCCTCAAAATTCCTTAAGATTTAGCATTCAGCTTTCACAATCCATAGTAAATCTTTAATTTCAAAGTCTCTGTTGCTTTTCATTGTAAAACTAAACGTAATCCATGCTTTAACTCTTTTCTGGTTGTTTTCATATGTCCTTTAAATTCTCGATGTTTTGTATGTTTCTACAGTGAATATTTGTGAGTTGAAACTTTTTAAATAATTCAAGAATATACTTTTGTGTGTGACTTTGAAATTGTATATACTGCTTGTATGATTTCTATAATCTATTGCCAAGGGTAATAAGAGCTAGTCTTAAAATCAAAAAGGCACTATATTACTCTTTGATTCCCTTTTTTTTTTCTCTTAATGAAGCTGAAATAACTGGGCACTGAAGATAAAATATATGTTAACTAGAAGAGTATTTGCTATAAAATAAAAAATTTGACACATTTTGGCAAAAGTTTTTTTTTTCGGTAGTAAACATTTTACTACCTAGTATCAAATATATTAAACTTAATAAATATAAGAAAACAGAGCCTACAAATGCAAAGTCTAAATCCTAATTTTTACCTGCAATTGTTACTTATATGAGTTCATTTTTCTAAATTAAAACTAAATCAATCTACTCTACCTCCTATTCATGGCCTCTGCCACTGCAGTCCTGAAGGTTGGGGTGAAGATACTCACATTTTACAAGTTTGTGAAATATTAACTAAAAAACTATGGCGAAATATAAACATGAACATTTTGGAGAGAAACACTTCTGAAATGGTAGTGTGTAGTGTCAGGGGCTCCATGGATGCTGTCCCGAGTAAAACAACTGTAACTGGTGAAAATTGTAATAAAATAACCATGGAAAGTCTCTGGAAATGGTCTTAAGAGCATATAGCAAATGGAGAAATATTTATTCAAAACAAAAAAACCTGCAAAATCTCAGTCAGAACAGTGAAAGTTAATGACATTTGAGCAACAATCCCCACCCCAACCCCACTCTCTCTAGCTCTGTGTGACAGAAACTTTACTCTGGATAGACATGGCCAAAAACAGGGTGCTTCTTCTACGTGATTCTCTTCTTCTTTTTACTTATCAGCAGAAGCTGCTGTGGCTTATCACCACGTCTGGTCATAGCTGAAGAGATGTGGCTGCTTCTGTATCTCCTGAGCTACCACACCTAGCGCAGATCCTTCCTCTCATAAATGAGGGAGAGGCTAAGACCATGAAAATGAGAAAGAATCATCTTTTAAACAAACGGTGCTGAGAAAACTTGAGATTCACATGCAGAAGAATGAAGTTGACCCTTTACCTCTTGGTGAGGAAGAATATAAAACGTTTGGGCAGTTATCTACCTTTTGGACACATACTTAATATTAGCTACACTATGAATTATTGGTTTGGGGTGAGTTAGTGAGAAACGGGTTCCTTTTATATGTTTAGCCTAGAGGCAGGTATCGAGAGAGGGCTTAAATGAACATCCTACAATAAAGTTTAAATTTTTCATCCTCCATTGCAGCTAGGTATGATCATGTGACCTGGTTCTGATAGGACATAATAAGAATTAATGTGTGAAACTTCTAGGAAGAGAAGTCCATCTTCCCCTATCTTCCTTGTTATTTCTCACTGTTACTTGGATGGCAATGTGATGATTGGAGCTTGAATAGCCATCTGGACTACAAAATGGAAGTTGTATGTTGAAGAAGACAAACTAATAATATAAATTGTCCAATGTCCCTGATGATCATGGAGCCACTGTACTGCCTCTCAACTGTCTCTTCTTATTTCAGAAAGATGCAAACTTCCATTGTTCCTGATATTGGTTATTTTGGATTTTCTGTCACTTGTAGCTCAGTTCTAATCTCAATGAATGCAAGAGTCACTGACAACCTGCTATAGCCAAGGTACTATATTAGGCACTGACAGGTCTAGGGTGAAAAAGAGACATCGCCTGGTTTTCACAGAGCATACTTACTAGTGAGAAAAGATAAAAATCAAATATTTAAAGAATATGATTTTGAGGGATAATCACATAACCTATAGTGAGTGAATCTGGATTTAAGGGCTTCTCAATTCAAAGAAAAGGGAAGGCCACTATGAAGCAGTGATAGCTGAGCTGATACATGAGATAATAGACAGACCTATACATGTGATGATCTGGATAACAGAATTCTATATAGGGAAACAGGAAGCACAAAGGGAGGAATGGACTAAAAAAAGAGAAGCAGAAAAATTGACTTGTGTGGTTGGAGTAGAGAGGGCAATGGTAAGAGCAACAATGGGAGATGAGGTTAGAAAATAGAGTAGGAGTCAAATGAAACAGGGTTTAATAGGTGAGGGATAAAAGCAAAACCAAAAATATATACTTCAGAATCTTGTCCTGGCATCTGTTTTTCCTCCAATCATCTCCTCCTTTGTATATTTTCTTTCTTTTTTTTCTTCATCTATATATCTTCTCATTTCATTCATTCAATCACCTATACAATGTGGTCCACTGTCTCCAGAATCCAAAATCCAGGATTGTATCCTACTATTTTTTTGTAGATTTTCTACATTCAATTGTACATAAAAAACTGGCCTAGGAAATCCGCACCCCATCGTAATTTGTATTACAAATTTAAAACCAGTAGCTCTCAAATCAAATTTGGATAAGAATCAATGTACTACTTTGAAGATCTTCCGAATATGTATATCTGTTTATAAATAACATATATTTTAAAGTGTTAACTTATGATCTTTCATTGATACATTTCTGTTTTATAAAACATGATATTCATGATAGATCTATTTTATTCATTTCAACATAGATATTATCTTCGCTACTCTTTTAAAATAGTTTTGAGGTTCCAACACCCAGAAAGTGTTGAGGAAAATTTGTATCTTCTAATGGTACTAAATATAATGTAACTGACTTTGAGCTGTATAAAAAAATGATTCCAAAATGAGTCCTAACTCTTGGTTTTAAAGGTGATGTAGGTGTGAAGGGAGATGTGACAAAACCCCAAAGATTGTTACGGAAGTTTTGGGGAAGGGAATGAAAACAAACCCACCGTGGTAATTACTCCTAAGATTGATGAAAATAGAAAGTCTTGTGCAGTATTAGTAGTGGAATACATACATTCTTATAAATTTGCTTGAGATAATGTGGACAATGTGTATTAAATGTTAAAATTGGCATATATAATTTGCATGAATATACAAATGGGTTACATCTTATTCCCTAATACAAGTGTGGTCAAATAAATTATATAAGATTTATAAAATAGCAAATTATGCAGCCATCAAATTATTGAATTGTTTCAGTATATAAAAGTAGAAACATGGCCAGAAACTATTGAAAAATATTACAAGTGAGTTACAAAACAATATATGTAGTAGGATTTTTAGGGTAACATATATCGAAGCAGAATGTGGGAAAGATGAAGACGGAGACACAGAAAAAACTGTCGTTTGGAAATAGTCTTCAAATAAATTGGGTGTCTATCTCTTGGCAATAAAATTATAAGTATTTCTCTTTTTATTTATATGTAGCTTTTTCCAGTGAAATAATAATTATTATAATAAAAAGACTTTTTAATTCAAGACAAAATAACGAGAACATCAGTGTGATTAGAAGGCATTACATGGGGATAAATGGCAGCCATGTCATCTGCAAACAGAGACAATTTGACTTCCTATTTGAATACCCTTTATTTCTTTCTCTTGCCTGATTGCCCTGGCCAGAACTTCCAATACTATGTTGAATAGGAGTGGTGAGCGAGGGCATCCTTGTCTTGTGCGGGTTTTCAAAGTGAATGCTTCCAGCTTTTGCCCATTCACTATGATATTGTCTGTGGGTTTGTCATAAATAGCTCTTATTGTTTTAAGATATACTCCAACAATACCTAGTTTATTAAGAGTTTTTAGCATGAAGGGGTGTTGAATTTTATCGAAGGCCTTTTCTGCATCTATTGAGATAATCGTAGTTTTTGTCATTGGTGCTGTTTATGTGCTGGATTATGTTTATTGATTTGCATGTGTTGAACCAGCCTTGCTTCCCAGGGATGAAGTCGACTTAATCGTGGTGGGTAAGCTTTTTGATGTGCTGCTGGATTCAGTTTGCCAGTATTTTATTGAGGATTTTTGCATTGATGTTCATCAGGGATATTGGCCTGAAATTTTCTTTTTTTGTTGTGTCTCATAATTGGTGGGAAATACATATATGTTGAGAATATATCCGTTGTTTGAAAAACATGACTTTTATATTCAAAAGTTGTAATCTTTTTATGAAGATGCATTTTCTTTTTTAAGGATGAAGGAGGGGTAGATGTATTTTTAAGCTAGGAGGAAAGAAATTCGACTTTCTGGCAGCTTATTTTGTGACCATGTATAAATCAAGCAAACAAAAGCTTTCACTTATAGTAAAGTTCACTTGAAGATAAAAATTGACCAGGAATTAAAGACATTGTATGCACTTGTCTAGTTTATATTACTTGAGGGTGGTGGTAAGATGTTTTCTGGCTTGTATAGCATGCATGTATTAAAGACCTGAGACATAAAGAAGCAAGTATATTTGAGGAACTAAAGTCAAGCACAGCTAGAATGAGGAAAGATGAATGAATCAACATGGGTTGGGGGAGATATGTAAACAGGGATTACCTCATGCAGCATCCTATAGTTCGTGTTTAGCATTCTGGATTTTATAACCAAAAAAATAAGGAGCCGCTTATGAGATTTAGTCAAACGGAATAACATCATCATCTTTATCTTTTTAAAGCTCATTGTGAGTTCATGTGGCAGAGAGACTTTATTGGGAATAGAGGTACTTATATAGGGATTGGAGGATCAACAGGCTGAGGAAAGATGAAAGACCAGTAGGAGGTCGTAGTACTTATAAAGTCATAAGTGTAATATGATTTTGATTAGAATAGTAACAATAGACACTGTTTAAAAACACTTTTTAGTGGTAGAATCTACGTGTCTTGAAGCTTGATTAAATGAAGGTGAGGAAGACAGAAATCTTAAATGATACAAAGTTCTGACAAGAGAAGTTTAATAAATAGTAGTTCCATTTACCAAGGTGAGAAATATATAAGGAGGAGCACATTTGGGGTGGAATTCGTTTTGTTTTCTTTTGTTTTTTATTCATGTCATGTTATGTTTGAAGTGGACTTGTTCAGTAAGCAGCAGAAAATATGTGCCTGGAATATATGCGCTCATTTAAAAGTTATTTCCTTTTAAATAATTGCTCATTCTGCAGAAAATGGCTGACTTTGAATATCAGCTGTTTTCTTTTTCTTTTTCAGGAAATCATTCTTGAAATGGTAAACATCCAAGTTTTATCAAATACCAGGATATAATTGCCTGGTGTGAATTATTATTTTGTTAGTAACTATAATAGATAATCCACAGAAAATCTTTTGGAAATAAAAGACTTGAAATTAAAAGCTATCTGGAATGTTATATTTAAGGACACAGACCTTGAATGACTGTTCTTCAAGTAAAGAGTCTTTGTTGACAGATATCAAAATGTCTTATATTATGAATTCACCTCAACTTAGAATTATGTTAAAATGTGTGGCCTTCCTTGAAACACCACCTAAAAGAATTTTCTTATTGTCAAACAAACACTTAAAAAATAGTTTTTGAAAAATGAGTAAATTGGTATTGATAATCTTATAGAACATGTGTACAGTTTTTAAAATATATTGAATGTAAATAGTGTCTTTCTGTGTGAAACTAAACAAATATTGGACACCTCCAAAAATATTTTGTTCTGAAATTTTCCTTGGATTGAAAAAATGACTCAAATCCCATATTCTACTTACATCTTTATTGTAGCATGACTTAGGGCTCTTCTGTGAATGAGCGTTTACACCTTATTTTAAAAAATTATGTTTTAAAACAATTTCCTTTGAAAATAATGGTTTTCAAAGGAAAAAAAGAGCATCTAGGGCTCAGAAAATTTTCTTTATACTTGCAATTCAAAGTTATTTTCCTGCAGCAATTTCTTAAATGAAGATTTTTTTAATTAAAAAAACTATATTTTGTTGTTGCAAGATAGAAATAATAACTTTGTTGTTCAAAATTGACAGAGACGAGCCTAATGACTTCCTTGTCTGACCTTGTCTATAAACTTGGAAACCTCACAGTCTCGTCTTCCTGTTGTCTTCGGATGTAATTTTGTTGGTAGCTCAGGTCATATTTGCTTGTGTCTATAGTAACTGAGCCCTTTTCGACTTTAGGCACTGTGCAAGTTAGTTGGCATATGCCACAAGAATAAAAAATAAAACCAACAGCTATTGTCTCTTGGTTACAATCCTTAATGTTCTAATGACCTTTCTGGAAAGGTGATATTTACGCTGAGATCCTCTGAACTATAAAAATTGGAGGGAGAGAGAAGGGGAAGACATTCAGTACAGAGAAATAACATGTACAATGGCTCTTAAGCTTCGAAGAATTAGCGAACTTAGGGAAATGATAGAGGCCAGCATCTGTGGAGCCATGAAATGAGGCAGGAAAGTTTGACGGGACACCTGTGAATCTAGAGTGTTTTAACTTCATCCTAAGGTCAATAGGAGGCCATTGAACAATTTGAGGGGATGTCACAATGGGATGTACACTTGGGCATTACTCTGATGCTGTTTGCAGTGAGAAGAATATAGAGAGGGCAAGATCTCAGGAGATACAGAGTTTTATGTTGGGTACAGGTTGGCCGAAGTAAATTGTGTTTATCTATACAATAAGGTTAGATGAAGTTTGCAATTGATTTAGTTAAAAAATTTCAAAAACTGGATGACCACATAAATAGGAACAGATAACCTATTCGGAAATATGGCTTCCCCGGTCCATCAGATTTCCCAGTGGAATGGCACCCATGACACTAAAGGCCCAATGTGAGATCTGCCTAGTTATAGAAAGTAAAATCTTTATTTTTACCTTACCCTGTTCAACTGGGATATTACATCACCACTTCGAAAGAATTTGAACTAATCATCTATGTGCTTCCATTCAAGAGAATATTTATATAAATATCTGGTTTTTTATAATCCTTAAACTAAACCTAGAATAAAAAGGCCACATCATCATCAGTGGCTCAGCCAGCTTTCCAGAAGGCTGGAAAGCCATTCACCTCGAGGAGGCTCTTTCACTTTTGCGGGGTGGCTTTGACAAGGGTAGTGGCACTTATGAAGGAAAGAAAGTAGCCTCACATGAAGTATTATTTGCAGGGAGCACTGACAGGCTTTGCAGATGAGTTGAATGGTAGGAATTGTTTTGGAGAAGGTAAGAATCATAAAGGATTGCCTGATGATGGATTGTGGTGTGAGTGAGCTAATATTCCTAACTCAGAAGCATCCATTACTTAAATTAACAACTAAGGTGTGATTGTGTCCCAGTTTAGAGTTCAGCTTCTATTTTTGCACTGGCCTAGTGCTCTACATTCTACTCCTGTCTTTTTAACCGTTCCTTACTTTTCAGATCTATATAATTTTATGCTTTACTTTTTATTGATGTTGAAGAAAAGGCATTTCTTCTTCTTAAGCAGCTAGTATGGGTATCATAATTCAGCTCAAAATCAGTTACAAGGATTTTCATTGTTCAATAGTGTAAAAATATAATAAATATCCTTGATGCCTGTGGTGAAATACTATCAAGCAGCTAAAAAGAGTGTATTAGATAAGTGGTTCTCAACCAGGCATGAGTTTGGCCATGAATAAGACATTTGACAATGTCTGCAGTTTTTTTTATCGTAATTACTGCGGAAGTGGTAGCATTGTACTGGCATCTAGTAGGTAGAAGACAGAGATTCTGGCAAACATCCTACAATGCAAAGGACGGCCTCCCCCGAACAAACAATTATCAGTCCAAAACGTTAAAAGTGCCACTTTTGAAAAACCCTGTATTAATTAGATCCATATCTCACAATAATTATGTAACCCAAATATATAATATTGAGTGAAAAAGGAAAGTTGTAGAACGATTGCAAAGCGTGATAGTATATTCATTCTTTTAATGCTAGCTAGCATAGCAAACCAAACCCACAATTTCAGTGCCTTAACACAACAGATATTTATTGTTTGCTCATGTCACAGTCCATGGCATTCCATGGCAGCGTGTTGCTTTCCTGCATGTGACGATGCAAGGATCCAGACGTCTTCCATTTTGTTGCTCCCCCGCATCTCTTCAACCTCAGAGTCATCTGCATACATCCATAGAATGGGAAAGAAACAGCAGAGAAGATATATTAGCTTTTTAAAATCTGAAGCTCTGAATTGACACAAATTACTTCCACTCATATTCTACTGGGAGAAACAAATCAAATAACCACACCTGCATGCAAGAAGAGCTATATAATACAATTAGAGGCTGAACAGCCTGTCAGCGATACTACCTGGGTATGGAGTGGATCAACATGGATTCTTATGGATAGCTCATTAGCTCAATGAAGGATGCCAAGCACTCAAGTAAATTTGTAAAGAACATACACACATACATACACAACAACAACATTATGTATTGTTTATGGATATAGGAATGTATGTGAAAAGCAGAACAATTGAGCTAAATTAATGAACATAAAATTCATATATCATGGCCTCTTATAAAGACGAGAGCAGGAGAACAGGCCTGGAGATAAGGAAGTAAAGTGTTTTCACATGTATTTGAATCATTTTCTTTTATAATTAGATTATGCACAATAAATTAGGACAGATTATTCATAATTATGATTTCCTGGAGATATGTACTCATTGTATAAGTCTCTGGACTTCTCTAATTTTACCTTTCTCAAAAGAAAATAAATAAGTTGAGTAAGTTGGATGTATTTGTATCAGCCAATTAACTTTTATATTGATATTTAAATGAGATATAACATCTACATTATTTTTTACATTTATGTAAAATTCTAGATATATAAAACAAGAATTTTTATAAAAGCTATTGTTGTTATTAAGGTATACTTTGGTGGAACATTGTACAGTGTTCTTTATCGTATGGTCCTATTCAGATTATGTACCAAATGCAATACTAATATGCTCTCAAGCTTCTTGAAAAAAATCCTATCTACATCACGATAATATGTTGGTAATATTTTTGTTCCCTGTTTATTTTGGTATCTCAAGTAGTCTCATCTTTTCTTTTAGAATATACCTGATTTTTAAGTCATCTTGTAAATATCAATAATGTCTTTCTTTCTTGCAAGAAACAGAAACCCAAACAAAATACAATTCAAAATTCAAGGTGTATTTGTGCATACTCTGGATTATCTACTGGTAGAACCCAAGAAAAATTTAACCTACAGGCCATGGGAATGATGGGGCCATAGGCCATCTCCATAGTGGTATGCTACTAAGAATGACTCATTGCACAAATTCTCATTTTATGAGTCTCAGGTAAAGTATTTTAGGAAGTGCATCTGTTTGTTCCAAGTTGAATCAGGCCTCAATCTTGGTCCAGTCAGCCTTGTCCTAGAGGCAAATATCACACAATACAAACATGATATCAAGGACTCTGCTTATGGATTGTTTGACTGGAGGGTGATAGTCGCCAGAGAAGGGAGAAAAATTATGGACTGAGTAGAACTTCCCAAATATCTCTTGTTTAGTGTGTTTCTTGTTCCACATTATTTTGACAGAAAGAATTCTGAGTTATATTATTTGATCCTCCAAGTTTCAAAATCCTTACAAACAAAAATGTTTTTAATGCCTTCACATGTATGTTTCTTTCTATCATGTTACTTTGAATTATGAATGCATCAATATGTAATGTTACAGCATTAAATGTATCAAGTTTGCTTCTCCACTACATTATAACACACACACACACACACACAAATGAATTCGTATTAAACTTTTTGAAATCTATGATTTAAATAGAGAGATAAGAAGAATAATGACTGGTTCATTATATTACACAACCTATGCTTTGTATATGGTTTTCTTTTTTAAAAATGTACTTTGTAAGTTGAGAAAAAAGGTAATTGACAAAATACCAGTGTAAATTTTGAACACAATAAAATAAAATTACATCAGCCCAATTACAAAGCAACATGTATGAATAGCTTAACCAACTCTCCTGTTTTAGGTCCTTACGTGAACCAAAATCCTGTTGTTATTTATCACTTATTGGAACCAAAAAGAGCCACAGATGTTGCTTTGAAGAGCAGGATGCTATGAAGTACTGTTTTAAAGACCTTATTAAACACTTCACTGAAATAGGAAGTCATTTATGTAGTCATTAATACCCCTCACTGCATTTAAACCACAGTTCTCAAAGGAAAAAGCTGCTCCTCTCTCACAGTTTTGTTGTTACTTACTTTTAAAAATCAAAGATCAATACCTTTAATGAGAACATATTGGGAATATCTATGTGCTACGCTCTAAATTAAGCATTAGGGCAAAAAAAAAAAGATGATTTTTAAAGTCTTTTCTTTTGAATTTTGAATTGAGATAGAAAACCAACGTTATAGGCCCATAAAAGGGCCTGTAACTGGAGACAAGAAGGGGGAAAGGCTGAAAAATATACCTATACCAAATTTGAAGAGAGCATTGATAGTCAGTAAATATATTGCAGCAACATTATGAAGGTTTGTGTAAGCCATGATAAAAAGCATAGAATAAAATATTTAACATAAAAAGTAGAAGAGGCTCAGCAAAAATTTCCTTCTATTCACCTGTCTTAAAAAGTTAAGTATTTTTATCTTGTGTTTAATGAAGAAGAATTTGGAAACTAAAAGTTCCAAAAATTAATAAATTTTTGGCTATGCACTGTTATGTCCTTTTGTTAAAAAACACTAATTGTTGAGAAAAACCTGATTGCTCTATCATCTTTTTATATTCAAACCAAATGTGCTTGATTAAATGTTTTAGATGTCTTATTAATAGACAGTCTTGATCTTGGCTAAAACATCTATAGAAAGGCTTACGCAGTGTGCTAGGTGCATGTTGAACTCCCTGTGTTGTTCAAACTAGAGACATAAATGATTAATGAATACTTTATCATATGTTATATGTGTATTTTATATATATATATAAAATTATAGTCATGTACTCATCTGTAATTTCAAGTTGGTAGACATTTTTGTTTGCATAATTTTGACAGATTTGTTTTGTTTTGTCTTGTTTTTTGAGACAGTCTTTCTCTGTCGCCCAGGCTGGAGTGCAGTGGCGCGATCTTGGCTCACTGCAACCTCCGCCTCCCGGGTTCACGCCATTCTCCTGCCTCAGCCTCCTGAGTAGCTGGGACTACAGGCGCCCGCCACCATGCCCAGCTAATTTTTTGTATTTTTAGTAGAGATGAGGTTTCACCATGTTAGCCAGGATGGTCTCAATCTCCTGACCTTGTGATCCACCCGCCTCGGCCTCCCAAAGTACTGGGATTACAGGTGTGAGCCACCGCACCTGGCCTCGACAGATGTTTTCATAAAATTAAATAATAAAATACAATCTACATATTAAAGTTTTATATATTTCTGTAAATTGAGATATTTTTATTGTCGGCACTATTTTTAGTTAGGTTGCTTAAATAAATACTAAATATACAATGAAAACGAACATACCTAGTACAGTCATTCTACTCATCACTTGGTATAGTTGATGTTTTTTTTTTTTTTTCTTTGAGACCAAATTTTGCTCTTTGTCACCCAGGCTGGAGTACAATGGTGCGATCTCAGCTCACTGCAACCTCCACCTCCTGGGTTCAAGCAATTCTCCTGCCTCAGCCTCCCGAGTGCCCACCACCACGCTCGGCTAATTTTTTGTATTTTTAGTAGAGACGGGGTTTCACCATGTTGGTCAGGCTGGTCTCAAACTCCTGACCTCAGGTGATCCACCCACGTTGGCCTCCCAAAGTGCTGGGATTACAGGCGTGAGCCACCGCATTTGACCAAGTTGATGTTTTATTTGTTATTAATTTCAAAGGCTGACATGTACTTATGATTTCAGTAGTTACCAGCTACTCTACACGCAGCATGGTACAATTAAATGTATATTTAGCTTTTGGAACATTTCTTTTTAAAAGTTGTGCACATTTTAAAAACCAAGTTATCTGAATCACGTGTTAAAACATATTAAAACAAGACTGAGAATTCCATTTCGGACAAGATGGCATAAACTGATTTTTCCCTGCTCCTCATAGTGAAGAAGAACAATAAAACCTAGAAACAAAACAAGAGGCCATCAAAAGAAAATTGTAAAGGATAGTCAGAGAAAAGCAAACTGCTTTGAGAGCCTCGCGCTAGAGGAAAATAAACTGCAGCACATTCTCATATGTGCCCCTATCCAACAGAAGATGGGGACCCCCACCTGTCATTTTCCAACTTTCAAGCCTAGTAGCAGAAGGCAGCCCAGCTAGTTTCCTCTCTGAATTGAATAGGAGTCTCTCAGACAATACCAGATGAGCCTGGTATAACTGGCAAGGGCTATTGAATGGGAGCCCATCTAACATTAAGCAGCTAGGGTAAGTGCCTCTCCTTTCCCAGGGATTTAGGACTACCATGCTCTGCTGAAAAATAGACAAGTGGCAGTATTGTTTAGAGGAATTTTGTCACAGCAAGTGGCCCAACCTCGGAAGCCTCTTTGTCCCTACAGGCCTAAGACACTCTCACTCACTCTCACTCACAACAGGAAATACTTAGGTGGCTGGGTGCAACTGCCACAAGGGATTTTACCACTCTAAGTGGCCTAGTGCAGGAAGCCTCTTTGTTCCTGTGGGTCTGAGGCTGCCCTCTATTGTACAGAGATACTGGGGCAGCCACAGGGTACTAGAAGAGGGATCCCTCAAGAACAAAATCCCATCCAGAAAGCACTGTCTGTTCCCAATAGGCACAGAGATCTTGCCACAAGTGTCCTAACTACTGAAGCCTCTTCATACCTGCAGAACTGAGGCTCTCTTTTCCGACAGGAAGACATCGAGGTGGAAAGGCAGAAATTACAAGAGACACAATCATAATAAGTGACCTGGTTCAGAAAGCATCTTTGGTCATATGGACCTAGGACTTCTCTTCCCCACCCAGAGATACCTGGGCAAACACAGAGCACTGGTAAGGCTATCCACCACAAAGAGTGACTAGCCTGGGAAGCCCGTTGGACGCTATGGCCATGAGAATCCCTCCACTTTTACCCAGAGACATTGGAGCAGCTGGAGGGTACCAGTATAGGGATTCTAACACAATAATCCTATCTAGGAAACACTTTTATCTCTATAGATCTAAGAAACCCCTACTCTACCTAGCAGCACCAGCACCCTAGTCTGGGGAACTCCTTCTGCCCACTCAGAATGTACCATCAAGGATTTTTGAGAGTACCAGCATCACTAGATAAACCAAGCAGGCCTCAATAACACGAGAAATACTCTGAAAATAAAACTGTCTTTGGGACCACAGCCCATAAAAGTAGAATGGCACCTGTGTATTGAACTACGTATGGTAAATACCTGCTAAAATAAAAGATTGAAATAAGATCCAGATTCTGCATATATAATGGACAAAATGTCCAGAGTACCATCAAAAGTCGCCTGCATACTGAGAACCAAAACAAACAAACAAAACTAGAATGAGAAAAGACATCGACTAATGCTATCACTTAGATAAATTAGATGTTGAAATTATCTGACAAGAATTTTAAAGTAGAAGTCAGGCCAGGCGCAGTGGCTCATGCCCGTAATCCCAGCACTTTGGGAGACCCCGGCGACCGGATCACCTGAGGTCAGGAGTTCAAGACCAGCCTGGCCAACATAGTGAAACCCTGTCTCGACTAAAAATATAAAAATTAGCTGGGCATGATGGTGTGTGCCTGTAATCCCAGCTACTCAGGAGGCTGAGGCATGAGGGTCTCTTGAACCCGGGAGAGAGAGGTTGCAGTGAACCGAGATCGCGCCACTGCACTCCAGCCTGGACCACAGAGTGAGACTCCGTCTCAAAAAAAAAAAAAAAATGCAATAGCATTTATGATTTCTGCAAAGAAAATGAAACTCTTACATATAAAACTAACAAAACATGCACAGAATCTGTATGATAAAAGTTACCAAGTGCTAGTAAAATAAATAAAGAAGACCTAAATATATGGAGATACATTATGTTCATGGATTGGAAAACTCACCATAGTAAAGATGTGAATTCTCTCTAAGTTGATCTATTTTTAAGACAATTCTTACGAAAATTTTAGCAATGTTTTTGAACTTACACAGGCTTATTATAAAAATTATATAGGATGTATAGAATGGCACAGGACCTATACTAGCCAAAACTATTGAATAAGGAAAAATTAATTAGAGAAATCACTCTTACTGTTGTTAAAGTTAATTATATAGCAGCAGTATTCTAGACAGTCTGATACTGGTGGTGTACAGACTCATATATCAGTGAAACAGAATAGAGAGCCCAGAAATAGATCCACAAATATGCCCAATTTATTTATTTTTACAGCTTAAAGTATAATTGATATACAAAAATCTGCACATATTTAATGTATACAATTTGATGAGTTTGGACATATTCATATACCTGTGAAACCATCACCACAATCAAATAACAAACATCAATTCCCTGGAAAAGTTTCCTTGTGTCCCTTTGTTTTGGACGAAGCAGGAATCCAGTAAGGAGGGTTAGCCTTTTTAATAAATGGTGTTGTAGTAATCCAACACCCATAGGCAAAAAACAAACAAAAAACACCTTGATCTAAACATCAGAAGAACTTAAACTGTAAAACTTACTCAAAAATAGAACATATTTGGGATCTAACGTTAAAGTGTTCTTAGACTTGACACCAAAGTCGCCATCCATAAAAGGAAATTTTGATAAAGTGAACCTCATTAAAATAAAAAACTTTTGCTATGCAAAATATTCTGTTAAGAAGAAATATAACCGGGCGTGGTGGCTCGTGCCTGTTAATACCATCACTTTGGGAAGCTGAGGCAAGCTGGTCGCTTACGCTCAGGAGTTCGAGACCAGCCTGGCCAACATGATGAAACTCTGTCTCTAGTAAAAATACAAAAATTAGCTGGGCGTAGTGGCGCACACCTGTAGTACCACCTACTTGGGAAGCTGAGGCATGAGAATCGCTTGAGCCCAGGAGGCAGAGGTTGCAGTGAGTCGAGATCATACCACTGCACTCTCAAAAAAAGAAAAAAATGAAATACGAGCTACAGACTGGGAGAAAATATTGGCAAACCATATATCTAGATATCAAGAACTAGTATCAAAACTACATAAAGAGCTCTCAAAACTCAACATTTTAAAAATCCAATAAGAAAATGGACAAAAGACAGGCACAGATGTTTCACCAATGAAGATATACAGATGGCATATATAAATGCATTAAAAAATGTTCAACATCAACAACCATTAGTAAAATGGAAATTAAAACCAAAGTGAGATATTATTACCTAGTAGTCAAAATGGCTAAAATAAGAAAATAGACACCAGATGCTGGCAAGGAAGCGGAGAAACTGGGTAAATCATATATTGCTGGTGGGACTGTTAAATGGTATAGCCACACTGGAAAATAGTTTGGCAGTTCATTTTCAAACTAAAAATGGACTTAGCATATGACACAGCAATTGCCCTCTTAATCATTCTTAAAAAAATGAAAACTTGTTTTCATACAGAAACGTATCCACAAATATTCATAGCAGCCTTATAGTACCAAAACACACAAAAAAGTCCCTTGATATGTAATTGCTTAAAAAAAAAAAAACCCTGTGGTACATGCATACCATGGAATATTACCCAGCAATAAAAAGGAATTAACTATTGGATAAACCTGGTGTAATTTATACTGAGTGAAAAAAAATAACAATCTCTGCTTAATTTTGTTGTTCACCCAAAAGTCATTCAGGAGCAAGTTGTTTGGTTTCCATGTAATTGTGTGGTTTTGAGAGGTCCTCTTGGTATTGATTTCTATTTTTATTCCACTGTGGTCCAAGAATTTGTTTGCTTTTATTTCAATTTTCGAAATTTATTGAGATTCGCTTTATGGCTGAGCATGTGGTTTATCTTGCAGTACATTCTGTGTGCAGATGAGAAGAATGTATATTCTGTGGTTTTGGGTAAAGTAGTATGTAGATGTCTATTAGGTCTAGTTGGTCAAGAGTCAAATTTAATCCAGAATTTCTTTGTTAGTTTTCTGCCTCAGTGATCGGTCTAACACTATCAGTAGGTTGTTGAAGTCCCCCATTATTACTGTGTGGCTTCCTAAGTGTTTTCGTAGGTCTTGAAAAGTACTTGATTTAGGACATTGGTGTGCCAATGCTGGGTGCATATATATTTATGATAGTTAAATTTTCTTGTTGAATTACACCCTTTATCATTATGTAGTGACCTTCTTTGTCCTTTTTTACTTTACTGTTTGTGGGAGTGTAAATTAGGTCGGCTACTGTGAAAAGCAGTTTGGAGATTTCTCGAAGAACTAAAAGTAAGGACTACCATTTGACCCAGCAATCTCATTACTGGGTTTATACCCAAAGGAAAATAGATTATTCTACCAAAAATCATATGCACTGGGATGTTCATTACAGCACTGTTCACAATAGCAAAGATGTGGCATCAACCTACATGCCCACAATGGTTGATTGGCTGAAGAAAATATGGTACATACACATCATGAAATCCTATGCAGCAATAAAAAAAGAAAAAAATCATATCCTTTGCAACAACATTGATGGAGCTGGAGGACATTATCCTAAGCGAATTAACACAGAAACAGAAAACCAAGCACCACACGTTCTCACTTATAAGTGGGAGCTAAACACTGAGTACACATGAACATAAAGATGAGAACAGTAGACTCTGGGGACTACAATCGAGGGGAGGGAGGAAGGGGCAAAGGCTGAAAAGCTACCTATTGGGTACTATGCTCACTACCTGGGTGATGACTTCAGTTGTACCCCAGACTTAAATATCACACAATATACTCTTGTAACAAA
Source organism: Homo sapiens (assembly GCF_000001405.40). Taxonomy (NCBI): domain Eukaryota; kingdom Metazoa; phylum Chordata; class Mammalia; order Primates; family Hominidae; genus Homo; species Homo sapiens. The sequence goes on along the minus strand of NC_000023.11, from coordinate 33,278,221 downwards.
CCTGCATATATACCCCCTGGATGTAAAATAAAAGTTGAAATGTAAAAAAGGAAAAGCAACAATCTAAAATGAATGTATATTGCATGTTTCCATTTGTTTTTGCTTGCTTGTTTGTTTTTGAGACAGGTTCTCACTCTTGCCCAGGCTAGAGTGCAGTGGTGCGATTGTAGCTCACTGCAGCCTTGAAGTCCTGGGCTCAAGTAATACTCCTGCCTCAGCTTTCTGAATAGCTGGGACTACAGGCACACACCACCACACCTGGCCCATTTTTAAAAATTGTTTTGTGTAGACAGGGTCTCACTATGGTGACAGACCAGGATCCCTGGTCTCCAGCGATCCTCCCGCCTTGACTTCTCGAAATGCTGAGATTACAGGTGTGAGCCACTGCATCTGGTCTCTATTTGTGTAACATTTCTGAAGTAACATTATTATGGCAAATAGATGAGTGGTTGCCCGCTTGTGAACTCCTCCACCTTGAGGGCTCAGAGGCTGGATCCATAGATATAGCAGAATGTGTTTGTGTGTGTGTCTATGAAAAGGAGTAGGAGGCTGAGGGTGGGAAAATGCCATGGAAGCAAAATATGATTGAGCATGACTAGCTTCTCTTGTGACTGTTCAGCCCAAAATGTCCAGGAGTCATAAACACGTTGTGAAAGAAATTTCCAGGGCATGCATCTCATAAGGACGTGTCTGCTTGTGGGTTCTCAGGAAACTGCAGACCCTGCCCTGCAAGTCTGGCCTCTCTCATGGACAGTCAGAGGGCCATGAGGTTGCATTTTTTAAATTGAGGTAAAATTCACATAACATAAAAGTAACCATTTTAAAGTGTACAATTCAATAGCATTTCGTACATTCACGATGGTGTGCAACCATCATCTCTATTTTGGTCCAAAATATTTTCATCACCCCAAAGGCACCACTGTATCCATTTATCAGTTAGTCCACACTCCTCCCTCACCCAGCTGTTGGCAACCACGAAACCACTTTCTGTCTCTAAGGATTTGGGTGACCTGGTCTTCATGTCAATGGAATCATGCTGTATGCAGCCCCTTGTGACTGGTTTATTTCACTCAGCATAATGTGATATGGATTGGGGGAAGGTGGCAGGTGGCCTATAAAAGGATAACATGGGGTGTCTTGAGGTGATGGTACATCTACCACTTGTGTTGTGCTTACGTGAAGTGATCTATGTGGTAAAATTGAGTATAACTATATATACACACACACATACACACACAAATGTATACGTACATAAATGGTGAAATCAGAAGAAGGTTTATGGATTATACCAATGTCAATTCTTTTGATATTATACCGCAGTTTTGCAAGATGTAAATATTGAGTGAGCCTCCGTGAAGGGTGCACAGGACCTTCAACCTCCCTATACAATTTTTTGAAACTTCCTGTGAACTTGTAGTTTATCAAATTAAAAAGAAAAATTCAAACAGCCTTAGTTTAGATCTTTAAAGCCTGATCCTAATGAAATTAAATTCATTTTCATCCCATGTATATAATATTGATGCTCACCCCAATGATTCGTAGATTACATATTTTTGACAAAGAAAGAAATGTAATAGGTTGTTACTTTCTTTTTTACTTACAATACCAGTATCATTTTGCTGAATTTAATTGGGGAGCTCTATAGAATACAACTTGAAAAATACTAGTCTAACTTATGTCAGATGTTCAAATTAATGTAGCTTAGTTTCGTGCTCTCTGGACTTTTAGACTTCATGATTCAACTAAATTTAAAACAAGTTAGAAACAAACCAGAGATCAACCTTGAGTTGCCATTTTCTTACTTTGCTAATTAGGGCTTCTCACCATTGTAATATAAAAGAAAAAGACCCTATCAGCACCAAAACTTGGAAGGACCTGATCACAGAATTAAAAAATGAAATAATTAAAAAAAAATACTCCAGCCTCTTCATGTGTTTCCTGTTTCACCATGGCCTGATGTGACCGTCATCATGCACTGGAACCTGAATTTAAACGCATGTTAATGAACTCCTCAAATGGCATTTACCGAATCAGAGAAAACTTGAAAGAAACTTAACTAGCAGTGGTCCATTTGAGTAAAAATATAATACATAAAAGGAAGATCTCTTGAATTCCAAGCCTGACAAAAATTTCATCTTTATTAGATGGAATACTATATATCCCATTTTAAGAGGTATGCATATGTACATAAATCGGAAATTTGCAAGTAATATATGTGATTTTAATGAACTTCAAAGAAAACAATCATACAATTGTATAGTCACACCACATATATATGATTGTAGTGTTAGTAATAGTGTTTTCTGAGTGCAAATGATATGTATATGTACGTAAACATACACAGAGATGCATGCATATATGGAATATATGTGTATGCAAGTACATGTCATATGCTTTCCCATGGGCAAATGATTATGCCAATATTTTCCCAATTTTCTAGGATGTTAACACTCAGTCTCTTTTGCTCAATTCCATATTTAATTTTAGTCCTGTTGAATCATTAGGATGTCTTTCATTTAGTCCAAGTCTTACTAATCTGAGTTCCATAGTCCATCACAATCCCACTTTTTCTTTGGAACACTTCCTAAATAGCAAATTGCCAATGTTAAGCTCCCTTCTTCTGACCTTCTCTAGCATTAATTACACGTACCTCAGGTGTTGACACATAATTATGGTATGTCTCAGCTTGTCCCAGAAATGATTTTTAGTGATACATGAACATACGCTATATACTTTTTTAAATAGAAAAATAATTGCTGACATTTAAAACGGATCTGAACTTTTGCTTAGTATTAATTCTATTCCTCACAAAATCCCACATTTTCTGCCCATTTTTCAGATGAGAAAAGCCAAAGTTAAAAGGGCTTAAAGTTCGTGTTAACTCAGCTAGTCAGTGGTAGAGCTGAGATTTATAGCCAGGTTTTCTCTTTCCCATGTGTGACTCTCCACCAGTATTCATTGCTAATTTTATGAGCAAATTTGTAGAAGCATGTATTCTTTTGAATGAATATAAGAATGACATTTACTAGGCTGTACCATACACTGATTCAATCAAACCAACTAATTTGCACAAAAGCTTAAGTGAAATCTCTAAGATTTCATGCAGCCTGAATTTTAAATTTGGCATGAGATAGGAGACTGCCCTTTGCTTAGAAAACAAACAGCACAACACGACAAAGACATAAACTTGCCCCAATGCCATTGTGCGGGAGAGCATAAACCTGTGGTGAGTCAAGGCTATAGAAATTAGGTTCTGTGGCCCATCTAATTTGTTGCCCATGTCAGGGGCCAGCATGCTGTCCAGGATCCAGCTCATTGCTGGCTTCCTCGCTATGAAGGCAATAGTCTTAGGATCCTTGTTATAAACGTTTGGAAAAAGTTTCTGAGGCCCTCAAATCTTCCTGGAGGAGGCAGATATACAGATATAGCACATACCAGGAATCTCAGTCATGGGCTCCTCGATGGCAGATCCCATCAGTAGTGTTTGAAACACACAGTTTGTACATCATAAGCCCCAAATTTTGATGGCTAGTACTAAAAATTATTTTCAAAGTTGTATTTCAGTATTTACATAACTATTGAGAAGTGATTTCTTTTGAGAGACTCAAACAACAGAACCTTATTTTAGCTAATGAATTTGTACATGCAATTCCCTAATTTTCATCTCCCTGGCAGAATGGTTTCTACACTCCACCTTATCCTATAGACTAATTACAAATTAACCTTACTAAATATTCATTTTTTTCTCACTTCTTCCTTTGCTCACAAATTTCTAGCATGTGCCTTACATGCATGCATTCTAGTTCAGACTAAGACTCTGACCTTTCATGCCACCTTGGATCCCACCTTATTTCTCAATATTCTCAACATGAATTTTCTAAATATTTTCAGCTTAGACCTTTAAATCTATCAAGTTATAATTAGTGCTGACTTGGTAGTGGCTAATATCACTGTAATACATAAAGTATAATGAAGAAAATATGTGTTTAAGAAATATGAACAGTAGAATTCTCTAGGATTTACCATCAAACTACCTGTGTGACCTAGAGCTAATTATATAAATCCTGAGCTTCCATTTTTTCCAGTAATAGGGAGATGACATTAGATGATTCTTAACATACTCTTTAATATCTTTGACAAAAAAAACTTCAGTTATCTGATTGCTTATCCTACTTGTGTTTGTTTTGTATTCTCTTATGTATGCTGGGAAATGTGAATCCGTATACAATCACTGAATTATCATAATGAGATTCATCTCCTGGCACTGGTGCTAAGATTGAGAATTTTTGCTATTGATGGACAGAGCTGTGGTATTGTGAGGCAATATTTCTTATTATATTGCTTTTGTTGAAGTTAGTAAGTAGTATAATCCTGAAAGCAAAATAAAATGTGGAGCCAAACAAATTGCCTCTCATATTTACAGAGGGCAGGCCATGCATATTACTTCACATTATGCATAACTGAGGTTGTAAAATACTGCTGTAGTGTTTTGATGATTCAACAGTTAGTGTTCTTCCTCAATCAAAGAGCTGATGTTAACAGAACTTGCCACAATACAGCATATGCTAATTGCGTATGGCTTCATGTGGGCCCTTCAAATATAAAAAGTCAAACTTTTAGAAACCACTCAATACCAGACATTCAAAATTCTGGGTGGCAGTAAGGGATATCATTTGATATTTGAAGTCAAGAACCGGATTAGATTAGTTAGAGATGCAGGAATATTTGCAAGGTCTGTATGACCTTTACATAACATGATCTACTGGAAACCTGTTTTTCTAAATGTTTATATGTATGCACATTGACATTTAAAATGAAAACAATGGGATGTAAATCCTCTCATTAAGATGGGTGCCACTGACTGATTACTATTCTTGAAGCAATGTTGTCCTTTTTCTTGCATGGTAAATGCTTCTTTTTTAAAAAATAAAAAAGTCATTGCTATGTATAAAATGCATCATTCAGAGATTATAACCAGGGTTGGAAGTATCATATTTGAACTTTAGCTTAGACAAGTCCAGAACATGTTACAACAGGGTCACTGTTTGATGTTACATTGTTGTTCAGAGCTCAACTGTGTGTTAGGCCTGGACTGAGGACACAGTGACACCCTTTATTGCTGTATTGCACAGTTACATCTCAGGGTAATGCTTAGAGGTGGGATATGCTAATATAGTAGTCTAAAATGTGCAATCAATAATTCAATAATTATTTAGGGAGGGTCAGATACCACGCTATGTGTTGGAAATACAGTGGTAAACAAGACTATTTTTACCCTCATGGTGATTAAAATCCACTGTTTTTTTTTAAATTATTTTAGGATTTGTCAATATTCCAAGGGCCTACCGCAAGGAAGAGCAAGTGACTAAAGCTTGTTTCTAATCTTTCTCTTTTTATTCACTATTTTTACCTTTCATTTTGTCTCACAGACATGATTTGACCCAGTAATGTCTCAATTCTTTCCCAGAACAATGTGGAGATAACCAGATCATAAACAGCTCCACCTCTAATTACAATCTGCGTCATTTTCTTGTGTGTGTGTGTTTTTTTTTTTTTTCATTTTGATGTCATTACCATAGGGAGGAATCCCACAATGGGGCAACAATCACCATCAGTTCCTCCACAACATGTGGTTTCAACCATGACTCTTGAGAAAGACTTTAGCTCTATCTCAGAATATTCCCAATAATTTGATTTACTTAAACTTTATGGTGCAAATAATGTAACCCATTTCACGATTCTATCTGCTTTATTCTTCTTTCGTCCTTTTTGTTCTTTAACATGTGACTGAATTATAAACTGCCCCTTGAATTCATATCAGTCACAAAATAACCTTGATAATTACTTCACTCTACATGGATTTCTCTATAAATACATTTCCTCTCTGATCAATACCAACCAACTCAACATCGTCCAAGTTCTCCCCAAATCCAATGAACTCTTCCTTCTTTGAATTTAGAACACAAATTCTATCTCATGTATATGCATATAAGATGTCATTGGAAAAATGGGGGAAAAGATCTTAAAGGGATCAGGGAGGCTGGGTATGGAGGCTCACGCCTGTAATCCCAGCACTTTGGGAGACTGAGGCAGGCGGATCACCTGAGGTCAGGAGTTTGAGACCAGCCTGGCCAACATGGTGAAACCCTGTCTCTACTAAAAATACAAAAATTAGTCAGGCGTGGTGGTGGGCACCTGTAATCCCAGCTACTAGGGAGGCTGAGGCAGGAGAATCGCTTGAACCCAGGAGGCAGAGGTTGCAGTGAGCTGAGATTGCATTACTGCACTCCAGCCTGGGCAACAGAGTGAGACTCTGTCTCAAAAAAAATAAAAATGAAAAAGAACACACATTTGCTTTGCCACTCACATGGTCACTATTCATGTTTTAACTTAAATCATTGAATGGTCTTATTGTGTTTTCTTTTTTTTGGTTTTTTTTTTTTTGGTTTTTTTTTTGAGACAGAGTCTCGCTTTGTCGCCCAGGCTGGAGTGTGGTGGCACTATCTCGGCTCACCACAACCTCCGCCTCTGGGGTTCAAGCAATTCTCCTGCCTCAGCCTCCCAAGTAGCTGGGATTACAGGCACCCGCCACACACCCGGCTAATTTTTATATTTTTAGTAGAGACGAGGTTTCACCATGTTGGCCAGGCTGGTCTGAAACTCCTGACCTCAGGTGATCTGCCTGCCTTGGCCTCCCAAAGTGCTGGAATTACAGGCATGAGCCACCGCGCCCAGCCTTGTGTTTTCATATCTAATGTTTCATCACATGGAATGCAGTGTTCAGAGTGGAGATTCTAGGATAGACAGATAGATAATTGCTAACAGTGCTTAAAAAATATTCAGCATTTGATAAATATTTGCTTTTTTTTTTTTAGTTTTAGGTAAAATTAAGGATCATTAATTTTTTACACCTTTGATCATGTTAACATATAAAAGATTAAATAATAGGCAATAAGTAGCAATAAAATAGGAAGTTTAGTTTTTCCAAAAAGTTTATGATACTTTTATTATTTAAAAAGAAATATATAAAATAATCACTTGGACACTATGAAAATGTTGGAACTGTAACTTAGCAATTAGAAATGCATTAGATACAAATGCTATACAGTTACTTTATATTCAATAAATGTTCATTGATAGTAATTGCTAATTTTAAGATCTTCGAGAAAATAGATACAATATTGCCACAAATAACACCTTTTTAAATACACCTTGGAATATCAGGGTTATAAATAGTTCTTTGTTTGGATGACAAAAGTCTTTTTTCTTTAGCCACAGCTGTTGATAATATAAATAATTCATTTTTAAAGCAATAAAAATAAATACAGCCAAGATTATATTCATTTATGTTTGGGGGCCATATATATAGTTTATAGCATAAAAAAGCAGTGATCTTATGTTGACCCTTTCTCTAAAAATTAATAGTTTATTCAGCTTCCTGTGTTGAAATTGTTTTTGTTTATATACTATTCCCTTATATTTTGCTTATATTTGCTCTCTTTTTCTGAAGACCAATTATTGACCATAAAATTAGATAATCTTGGAAGGTGTTAACATTTCCTAGTTGAGGACGTGTGCAACGGGATGGATTTTGCTGCCGTCTAGTTTCTTCTCAAGTGTCTAAGCTGAGGCGTTCCCTACTAAAACTCACCACTGTCTGGAAATCAAGGCACTTAACTCTCTGTTGTGAGGGGGTTGATTGTAAATGTCCCAAGGTATTGCAAAAGCAGAAGGACCCACGTAGAGCCATGCAAATGAGAGTGGGTAGATACATTTTATGAGTGGGTGCCTCCTATTCTCAGCCCTGGTGATTTTTAGGGTGGTCTCAGGTGTGTCTCAGGGTAGAGAGGTATAGAGTTGCCATTCTTTGTCTGATTTTTTTTTTTCCTTGTCTATTGCTTTAGGATAAACTCAGCCTTACTTTACTCACAGCTACAATTTTGGCTCTCAAAAGATAGTTTGGGAAAATGTTTTAAAAATCTGACTATTTATTGTTTCTTGATGTTTTCAACCCTTATACAATAATTTTCTTTTCCTTGAATACCCATTGATGATATATGAAAAAAATAAGGACCAGAAGGTGAAGTGGGAATTTTAAAAGTATCAAGATAAAAACATAAGCGTTATCTCACTAGAGACATAAACCCAAATATTGTGTTGATCAGGGTAGAGTAAAGAAAGCATTGCCCCTGTTAAATCACTTATAGCTACGATCCACTTGGTAATCATTATAAATCTGTGATTATATATATATACATATATATAAGCTCCATATGATTTTATTTATTATGACCTTTTATTTTACGTATATATTAGACTCTGAAGAGCCCCAGGGTATTTGTCCCAAGATCTTTGCAAAACTCCGAATTTGCAAACATCACTAAGGCATATAATTCTACTCATAAAATGCAGTAAAGTATGGCTAATTACAGAGACCCCATCAGACTCTTGATGATTGTATAAACTTAAGTCATATATAACACTATTAAAATAAAATCTACTACTAAACAAACCACATTGTATTATATCACCCCAATTAAATTTTTAACTATGAACTTGCCTCAATCTGAAAATAATTGTAGTGAGCGAATAATGATACTTGCTGTGTAATAGGTGCCTGGCATGTTTTCTTTAAAGTAGGACACTTTTATTTTTAATTTCAACTTTTATTTTACATACAGGGAGTACACATGCAGATTTGTTAAAACGGTATATTGCACCCAGATAGTAAGCATAGTACCCAATAGGTAGCTTTTAACTCCTTCCCCGCCGGTCCCTCCCCACTCTAGTAGTCCACAGTGTCTGTTGTTCTCATGTTTATGTCCGTTGTGCTCAATGTTTAGTTCCCATTTATAAGTGAGAGCATGTGGCATTTGGTTTTCTGTTCTTGCATTACTTCGCTTAATATAATGTCCTCCAGCTCCATCCATGTCGCTGCAAAGGACATGATTTTGTTCTTTTTTATGGCTGCATAGGATTCCGTGGTGTGTATGTACTACATTTTCTTTATCCAGTCAACCATTGATGAGCTTTTAGGTTGATTCGATATTTTTGCTATTGTGAATTGTGTGACAAAGAACATACCAGTGCATGTGTCTTTTTGATAAAATGATCTATTTTCCTTTGGGTATATACTCAGTAATGGGATTGCTGAATTGAATGATAGATCTGTTTTAAGTTCTGTGAGAAATCTCCAAACTGCTTGCCACGGGGGCTGAAATAATTTACATTCCAACCAACAGTGTATAAGCACTCCCTTTTATCTACAGCCTCACCAGCGTTTATCTTTTGATTTTTTTTTTTTTTTTTTTTTTGTCACCCAGGCTGGAGTGCAATGGGGCAATCCTGGCTCACTGCACCTCAACCTCCTGGGTTCAAATGATTCTCATGCTGCAGCCTCCCTAGCAGCTGGGATTACAGATGTGTACCACCACACCCAGCTAATTTTTGTATTTTTACTAGAGTCGGGGTTTCACCATTTTGGCCAGTCTGGTCTTGAACTCCTGGCCTCATATGATCCTCCTGCCTAAGCCTCCTACAGTGCTGGGATTACAGGCGCAAGCCACTGCACTCAGCCTTTCTTGACTTTTAAATAATAGCCATTCTGTTTGGTGTGAGATGGTATCTCATTGTGGTTTTGCTTTTCATTTCTCTGATGATTAATGATGATGAGCATTTCTTCGTATGTTTGTTGGTCGCTTGCATGTCTTCCTTTGAGAAGTGTTTGTTCATGTCTTTTGTCCATTTTTTAATATTAGACTTTTGTCAGGTGCACAGTTTGTGAATATTTTCTCCCATTCTGTAGATTATCTGTTTACTTTGTTGATAGTTTCTTTGGCTGTGCAGAAGCTCTTTAGTTTAATTAGGTCCCTCTTGTCAATTTTTATTTTTGTTACAATTACTTTTGGGGACTTAGCCAAAAATTCTTTGCCGGCCGGGCGCAGTGCCTCATGCCTGTAATCCCAGCACTTTGGGAGACCAAGGTGGGTGGATTACCCGAAGCCAGGAGTTCGAAAGCAGCCTGACCAACGTGGCAAAACCCTGTCTCTACCAAAAATACAAAAATTAGCCGGGTGTGGTGGCAGACGCCTGTAATCCCAGCTACTTGGGAGGCTGAGGCAGGAGAACTGTTTGACCCCAGGAGGCAGAGGTTGCAATGAGTCCAGATCACACCACTGTACTCCAGCCTGGGCGACAGAGTGAGACTCTGTCAAAAAAAAAAAAAAAATTGCCAATGCCAATGTCAAGAAGGACATTTCCTAGGTTTGTTTCTAGGATTTGTAGTTTTAGGTCTTACATTAATATCTTTAATCCACCATGAGTTTATTTTTGTATATGGCAAAAGGTAGGGATCAAGTTTCATTCTTCTGCATATGGCTAGCCAGTGATCCTGGCATCATTTATTGAATAGGAAGTCCTTTTACCATTGCTTGTTTTTGCCAGCCTTGTCGAAGGCTGGTTGAAGGTGTATGGCTTTATTTCTGTGTTTTCTATTCTGTTCCATTGGTCTATATGTCTGTTTCTGTACCAATATTATGCTGTATTGGCTACTGTAGTCTTGTAGCATAGTTGGAAGTTCTATAGTGTGATGTACTGTGGTGTGAATTATTGTAGGGTGAAGTACTGTAGTGTGATGCCTCCAATTTTGTTCTTGCTGCTTAGGATGGCTTCGGCTATATGCGCTCTTTTATTTTTTTTTTTGGTTGCATATGAATTTTAGAATTGTTTTTTCTAATTCTGTGAGGAATGACCTTGGTAGTTTGATAAGGACAGCATTGAATCTATAAGTTGTTTTGTGCAGTATAGCCATTTTAATTATATTGTTTCTTCCAATGAGCATGGAATGCTTTTTCGTTTATCTGTGTTTCTTTCAACAATGTTTTTTAATACTCCTTACAGAGATCTTTCAGCATCTTGGTTAGGTGTATTCCTAGGTATTTCATTTTCTTTGGCTATTGTAAATGGGATTGTGTTCTTCATTTGACTCTCAGCTTGGTCATTATTGTTGTATAGAAATGCTATTAATTTTTATATGTTTTACTATAAAAATATATTTTTATGTATTGTATATCTTGAAACCTCGTTAAAATTGTTTATCAGTTCTAGTAGCCTTTTGGTGGAGTCTTTGGGTTTTCTAAGTATAGAATCATACCGTCAGTGAAAAAAGATAGTTTGACTTCTTTTTCTATTTGGATGCATTTTATTTCTTTCTCTTGCCTAATTGCTGTGGCTAGGACTTCCAGTACTATGTTTAATAAAACTGGTGAGAGTGGGCATCCTTGTTTTGTTCCAGTTCTCAGTGGGAATCGTTCCAACTTTTGCCCATTCGGTATGATGTTGGCTATGGATTTGTCATAGATGGTTCTTATTATTTTGAGGTATGTTCCTTCAGTGCCTAGTCTGTTGAGGGTTTTTATCATGAAGGGATGTTGGATTTTATTGAAAACTTTTTTCTGCATTAAAATAGGACACTTTCTGTCTATGCTTAGCGTCTTGTTTATTCTTATCTACTTTTTACTTGATGAGATGTTTCTTCGCAATTAAAAATATTTAAGTGACAGTATAGCCACCCATACTTTTTATTACAGAAATAAAAAATGCTTCGTCTCTCATCTGTCATTTGATGAAAAAATCCAAGACTTTCTTCTAAAACCTGCAAACATCATAATTCATATTTGTATTGCCTCCAACTATCTTCTTTCAAGTTAACCACCCTTTCAACTTTCACTAAATCTTTAACTCCTATTTGACGAGGTATTGAACGCTGTACTCAATGAAACACTTTTGCAGCTTCTCTTTTGGTTATTTATTTTTCTTTGGTTTTCTATAGAGAACATAATGGGGTTGAATAATTCAAAAATACAAACTCTTGCTGATTTCAACATTGCACTTTTAATTATATTAAACTTGTACTTCCTGGGTCAAAAATCATCTACGTTGTAAGACTCTTTACTTTTTCTACCTTTTTATTGCCAGCCTTGTCAGCTATCTTTAGGGTAGAAGAAGTGGGAGAGATGGTAAAGCAATGAGTTGTGATTTATTTTTCTCAAAAGAGGAAAGTTTGCTTCAAATCAAGGAAATCAATACCTACATAAAAATAAGGGGAGGCCAAGGCTGATTTAATAAAGAGAAAGCTAGAGTTTCATCTTGAATCTCTCACTAGCATAGCGACTTATGTATGAACCTCAGTAAATATCAATATTCTAGACATAGTGGGGCTTCGGTGTTTCTCAGGAATAGTCAGACACATCAGTATTTAATCTATAATTTAATAAATCCAAGGGTCTTCTTATCTGGAATAAAGCTGACTAAATAATTTAGTTGCTTATAAAGCACTAATATTTAGTACTAAAATGACCTGTCAATGTTATTTACATTTATTTTATGTTAACTGAAAGCTATGTTGCTGATAAAGCTTATATTAAGTTCAGGAGTTTTAACGTGGAATTCTATTAATATGGACTCTTAGGACTCAAAGTGTTTTTCATTAAATATCCTGGAACGTATGATATAAAAATTGAGAGATTTATCTTTACGTATTTTGTTCTGCCCATATTGGTATTTTCAGCTTATTTTCTATCACAGATTTACATGGGCCAAGACTGAATCATAGAATGGGATATTGGAATTTAATATAGTTTGTTGATGCTATGGAATCATTTTTTAAATTATCAATAACTTATTGGATCTTTTATTGCCAAAGTTTCCTAGGATTTCAATTGAAATGCAAAAAGAAGAAGTAAAAGACATTAACGTAAATTCTCAGCAGTTTATACAAATAAATTTACAAGGGGCCTATGGAACAATACATGTTGGTTTTATTTTCAATTGTAGCAAAAAAATAAATAAATAAAAGGTAGTTTGCCAACCTCTAGAGTGTTGTAATAATGGCATCTTTTGACTTTTGGAGATTTCATGGAAATTCTTCAGGTTTCCAACAAGAGCCCTCCGGGTGTGTTGAATTCATCTGTACCTGTGACAGTCAGGATCTAGGCAAAATTCAGAAAAACAGTGAGTACACTAAATATAGACTTGCCAAGTCTACAGTTCTTTAGGGAAAAAAAAATTCCTGGACTCAGCCTAAAGTCCCCCTAAGTTTTAGAGGTCAGTAATATTTCAAGTGACTAGAAAATCTGAACTAGGTACATCATCTTTGTTCTCACACTTAGTATGATTGTTCTCACCAAGCATCATTGCTTTTCTCCTTTCTGCATAATTTTTCCTTACTCCTTGATTGCCCTTTCACTCTTATGTGACCATAAACCTCTGAGTTTCCATAATGTAGACATGAAATTTAATGGACTACATTATGAAAATATTTTTTTCAATGTCATCATAATTTCTGTGCCAGGATAACAAGCTCAGAATATGGGAGTTTATAGTCCAGCATCTCTCCCACAACCTACTATGACTGTAAAGAAATTGTAACCTGCTCCTTATTTCCTTCAATGCTAATTTCTTTGAAAATTGATTATGAATGCCCTCCAATCAATATATGTAAAAAAAAAACCTTTATCTTTACTAAAATACATATCCTCCAGATTCATAACGAAGGAGAAAATTCTTTGGGGAAAGAAGAGTGGAGACCCCTCAGTTTCAATTCTGATCCAACTGACTTTATTTTGTCCCTAGGGTTATTTTGCTGGTTGGTGGCTTAACATTCTAATCCTAGGGTAAACTAGGACCTGCCTTGCCCCTTAACAACATGTGTAATCTTAAATCTGGCCCAGTCAAAAGTTTTAAACAAGACTTTAGGCGGTAAAAACTGAAAGAGAAATAAACCAGGAATTAACAATGAACTGATAATTTTTGCTGATGAACTACCACTTGGCTTACAGAGATTAGAACACATCTTTCTAATCTTATGACACACCACCCTAGGCTGAGAGTCATTCTAGCACCATCTTCGTCACCTACTCCCTTGAAAGGTACATGAAGTTTTATTTCCTTTCAAAATTTTATTTTTTTATTTTTGGTTTCTTGTTTTTAGAATTATTATCTGGCAAGGATAGGACTTTATCCATGGACTCGACAGTGCATTTATTTTAGAAAAGGCGTGTATATTTGTGCAATTTATCCTAGCAGAGTAAGTTCCAATATGTATATACAGGCCAAACAATGACTATAATATGTACATTTTTCTTCATTAACTGTGTTGATTGCCTGTGTTCTTTCATCCAGCAGAGGCAAAGTACTAACATAGAAGACTATCCAAAGTCTTCCAGTAGACTTGTTTAGACTAGATTTGAAAGAAGATCTTAAGTGTAAGATTATTTTTATACTGTTTTCAACTTGTATATTTGTGCAATTTGTTGAACAAATGAGAATTAGATAAATAATTTTAAAATATAAGTACTTTATGAGTCAGTTTCCCTTTTTTGTAAGTTCTGTTTCCCAGACGTGCAAAGCAATATAATTCTTATTATTTCAGGGTATAAATTAAATTTAACCTGAGCAAACAACTTCTTGTATGATTGTATTACTATTTTTATTACTATTATTTTTAGAGAGACTGATGACATTCTATCACTTGGTGTCATATTCATCTTTTTATAGATATTTGACTAATAATATGTAATAATAGTATTATGAATGGTGCCCTTAAGTCTGATGATTTGCTTAAGGGGCTAAAGAACAATATATAAATGGAAATCTAAATAGCACTACTTTTAAAAAGAATAAACCCATAGAAAGAAAATTCCATAGCTCAAAACTAAGAAACTCAAAATCCATATAACACAGAAAGTAAAAGGGAGCAGTTTTCTATATATATATATATATATTTTTTAAAAAGCTCTCTGACTCTGGTTAAGGATGCTTGTGAATCTAAAATGATGCATGTTGATAAAGCACTGTAATTTAAAGAAGTCTCCAGTCTTGCCTTTAACAGCAAAAGCAAGAACACATTAAATATATAGGATCTATAAGAGAAATGAATAAAAAATGTTCAAATGGAAATGGTAAACATACAGACTAGTTCTTAAAGATAGGTCATGTATATTCATTTTCTAATTTAAATTGAGCTATTTTGATACATGTATATATTTTATTATTATGAAATATGTCAAACAACTGGAGGATGACTAAAAATAATATTAATATAACATTTTGCCGTACTTGATTTTAGAATGGTGGTACCAATTTATGCCTCCAACAGTAGTGTATGCATCCCCCATTTTTCAAATTCTTATCAACTAGATATTGACACTTTATAATTTTTATCAATTTGATGAGTATGAAATTATATCTCATTTGTTTTTTGATCAATGTATCTTTTATATTCATTGACCCTTTATTATTTCCTGCTCTGAATCATCTGTTCATGTCCTTTGCCAATTTTTCAATTGACTTTTGGTCTATTTCTTATTTTCATGTAATTCTTTAGGTATTACAGTTTTTCCCTTTCACTCATCGGTCTCTAAATAAACTTGGAAATAATTTTTAGGGGTTTTTTTGTGAATAGTGAATAATTTTGTGAATTATTTTAGAGTAAATAACTGTCCTACCATCATTGTTTAAATGTCTACCTTTTCTCTATTCACCTGTAGTGTCACCTCTGTTTTGCATCGAGATTAGTATATACATGTACATTAGATTAGTATGTACATTAGTATTTCTGGGCATCTTTTTTTGTTCTGTTCTTCATTTGCCAATTCCTGTGCCAGTACTATAATATGTCTCAATTACCATAGATTTATATTTAGCCCTGACATGTGGTAGGGCCAGACACCCTAACTTGTTTTTCTTCAAAACTTTCTTAGATAAACCTTGCCCTTTGTCTATCATCAGTTCTATAAAATTATCAGCCATTATCTTTAAATCTGGCTTCTCTGCAATTCCATTCATTCTCTTCTTTAGGAACTCTTATTGTCGTATAATATTGTCCATCTTTTATGTCCTTAGTATTTTATTTTTAACATTTACTTGCCTCCCTGTGTTACGTTCTGGATGAATTCTTCATTAGTATCTTCTAATTCACTAATTTTATCTTCTTGTTCAATCCAGATACTTAAGCTGTTTATTTCTTTAAAATTGATTCATTTACTACATTTTTCATTTCCAACATTTATAGCTTTTTTCTTCTCAATATGAAATTATTTTAATTTCTACATGCTTTTGTTTTATAACTACTTGTTCTTTTTATTGAGTTTTATCTTTTAATTTTATTGTTGAGAATTCTAAACATATTATTTAAAAATGTTCTTCAGACATCTATATGAGAATAATTTCATCTAGACTGAACTCATGGTTGAATCATTGTGGTTGTGGTGGTGGTGGTGGTGGTGGTGGTGGTGGTTTTCTGCCTTTTTTAGGCCTTTATTTATTCACAGATTTCTGGAGCATTTAGAGTAAAAGGGTTTGCTTTTATTGTCATTGTGTTTATTATATCTGTTCCACCACTTTGCTGTTGTCCCCATCTGGCCCCTGGAATAGCTGCCTAGATTCAGATAGTCTACTACCACGTGGAGTGCTGTTTGTGGTGATAATTAATTAGAAATATTGAAGATTCAGTACTCAAATTCATTTGTTTTGGGCTGCTTCTGCCTTCATGGCGTGTGTGTGTGTGTGTGTGTGTGTGTGTGTGTGTGTGTGTTCTTCCCGTATCTCTAGTGTAACAGATTCCTAACATAATAGGCTCTCAGGCAGCAGGTCAGCAAAATTTTTAAGACATTTTTCTTTTCAAGAATGATTGCTGGGTGAACTTTTGCCATAACTTGTGACTTCAAGCAGTGATCTTAATTCTAGTTTATCCTGTACATGTGGACTCTTAGTGAAGGAATCTAAATGCGAAGCCACTACCCATGGGGGGAAAATAGTCTGTCAGGACTGCAGCTACTGTGTCTGATATGTGGAGGTGCCAAGATTGTGTCTAAGTCCTACTGTGTTATAACACTCTTTCTTTTTTTATATTTTCTTTCTTATTCTTCTATATATTAAATAAGTGTCAAGTCATGAAATTTCCATGCCATCTTAACTGAAGAGGTTTAAATGTTTTATATTTAATCTCCCGTTATTTATTGACTTTACAATGTCAAATTAAAACTCACATTCAGGCATATACTACTAAAATACTAATAGAAGACAAACTAGGATCATTATGTTTAGGGAAAAATACACACATACTATCATGACACAGTACAATTAACATAAAACCAAACACCAGAGGTTTCTCTTATTAAAGCTGAATTTTAATTGTTTTTATGTATCTATATTACTGTCTATAATACAGGTTCTTGAGAATTAGGACTGCTGTTGTGTGTGTAAGTGTGGATCGCTTTTGTTGTAATTTTTGATCATACTTCTGGAAACTAGCATGATAGCTGGAAAACAGGTCCACAAATATTAATTGAATCAATGACTGTTTAGGAGACACACAGGCATAGATGCAGCTTCTGTACTACAGTACCTTACAACCTATCATCGACAAAATACAAAGGCAATAAGTACTTTTTAAAAATATATAATTGTATAAAGTGATGAGCAAGAAAACAGAATGAATAAGAATGTGTAATAGTAAATTAATCCCATTTCACTTTTGATAGGCTTTTATATAAAGCTGATACAAAATACTTTTTAAATTCTCAGTGAGGCATTTGATGAGTTTCCTAATAATATTTATGTAAATATAATAGCAAGTATACAATCTTCTCTATATTTTGTAACAGTAATGACTATCCCTTTAAAAGGTATCTATTTGATTCAGAGGTTATTATTTTTCTCTTGTCTTCGCTAATTTTAATTCTCTGATGATGTTTTGAGAACACATCACTTGAAGATTTTTAGTAGGGCAGTGCTGTTGTCTATGTTACTGAAAAGTAACTGGACTGGAGAATGTGAACATGCACTCCTGTTCAGTATTTGGATTTTAGGAGTGTGTCGCTGATTCTTGAAGAATTTTTTTAAAATCTTTTTAAGAAAGCATCATTATTGTTACTTAAAAATATTTACCTGTTAAGCACCTCTTAGAATGGCCAAAATCCAAAACACTGACAACATCAAATGCTGACCAGGTTATGTAACAACAAAATCTCTTTCATTGCTGGTGGGAATGCAAAAGGGTACAGCCTCTTTGGAAAACAATTTGGCAGTTTCTCACAAAACTAAACACACACTTATCATATGATCTAGCAATTGTACTCCTTGGTATTTACCCAGATAAGCTTAAAACATATCCACACAAAAACCTGAGTGCAAATATTTATAATTATTCATAATTGACCAAACTTGTAAACAATCAAGCTCTCCTTCCATAGGTGAGTGAATGAATGAATGAACAGGTACATGCAGCCAATAGAATATTATTCAGGACCTTTGAAATGAGCTATAAAGCCATGAAAAAAGACCAACAAATATGGGGGAACTGTAAGTGCATATTACTAAGTGAAAGAAGCTAATTTGAAAGGGTTACATACTGTTGAATTTCGACTATGTGGCATTCTAGAAATGGCAAAACTATGATCACAGTAAACAGATGAGTGGTTTCAGTGGTTGCCAGGGGTTGCGGCAGGAGGTGGAATGTATAGACAGATTACAGAAGATCTTTAAGGCAGTGATTATATATTATCCGAAATGCTTGCGACCAGAAGTGTTTCAGATTTCCTTTTTTTTTTTGGGGGGGGGGGGCGATTTTGAAATATTTACATTACACTTACCAGTTGAGCATCCCAAATCTGAAAATTTGAAATCCAAAATGCTCCAATGAGCATTTGCTTTGGACATCTTATCAGCACTTCAAAAGTTTTGAATTTTGGAGCATTTGAATTTTAGATTTTTAGATTTGAGATGTTCAACCTGTATGATTCTATAGTGGTGGACACATCGTTGAATACTTGCCCAAACCTATAGCATGTACAACACTGAGTGAAACCTAATGTAATCTATGGACTTTGGCTGACATTGTATCAATGTAGGCTCATCAATTGTAACATACCATTGTGGTATGAAGTTTTGATGGTGGGGGAAGCTGTATGTTCGTAGGGCTAGATGGTATATGAGAAACCTCTCTTCCTTCCACTTAGTCCTGCTGTGAACGTAAAACTCCTCTAAAAAACAAAGTCTATTTTTAAAAAAACATTTACTAGGACAAAACATGTTTTTAGCACAATTTTTTAAACGCACAGTAAAGCGCCATATGCTCATGAGCTTCCTTTGGAAGCGCCCATCTTCAAACAAGTATATTAAGATAAGTTTTGTCCATATCATAGCAGGTATTTTATTTTCCCATTCTGCATATATTTAACATGGTAATTAATTCAGCCTGGTATTACTCTGGCTGTTATTCAAAGCCTCATATATGTTTGCTAATTTGTCACTTGCTCCTCATACAACATCTTAACTATTTAATAAGCAGTTACCAAAGTCTAGACAGTCCTGCTCCAGCATGAGTTTTAATTGAGTATGTACTACATAAGACAATTAAGATCCGAACAAACCATCAGCGGCAGATGATCCTACAGTTATGAGGAAAGCTTCTGTAGGAGTGACTGTGTAAAATGATGAAAGCAAAGGGTCTTGGAATATCATATATATTTATATCAGGGCTCTAAAGACATACTAGGATAAAGTGGAGAAAGGCATCTCTAGGGCTATCTTCTGTCATTTTGTTGCCAGTCGTTTTACCATCAAAGCAATATTTTTAGAAAAAGGTTTCCATCATCATTTACCAATATTTTAGGGAATCTTTAAAGTCTAAGAACAAATCAGAAGGTAATAATAATATTGAAAAATTATTCCAAAATGTTTAGTACGTTGTTTGTCTTGTTTCATCAAAACTATTTGTAGTAGCAGAACTTTTGTTGGTGGTTCTGTAACTGATGATTAGCTTTCAGTGCAAGTATTTTTCAGGTAACTGTGTGAAAATATTTTTAAACATTTACACTATGTTTCCAAACCGGAACACTTTGGTATAGTTATACCTGTGAAATAAATGACATTGTGTAAAACAATATAGCGGATCTTTTAAAGTGAGTTGACAGGATGACAGTACAGTTACTCACAGTTCAAACTACCACAATATAGAATGTAATGAGCCATAATGCTATTATTTTTCACTTCAGAATTTTAATATTGTGTTTTGTACAGTTCTTAAAATGTCATGCATAAAACATTGTGCTGAAACAATAGTGATTTGTATATTTATTACGTCAGTAGGACCCAACAGTCTAATAACGATAGGAAACAATGGAAATTTTTCCTCAGACTTTTTTGGAAACTGGTTACACAAAGAATTGCTTTGGGAAGGATCTAATGTTTGAAAAGCATTCTGGCTTGATCTTTAGATACAACAGTTTGATCTTTTGTGCAACTGAGAGCCTCTATATAAATGCAGCTGGAGTGAGTAGGGTATTTGAGGCTATGGCACCTTCAGTGATAGGGTGATTTTTGTCTTACTCATCCTCAGTGCCAACCAGAAAATAATTACATTCCTCTAATAGTGAATTGACCACTAACTAAATCTGAAGGACAAGAAGCTTGGAAAAATATAACTGTGCAAAATGGCTTATCGAACTTACCATTTTATAGAAGTTGAACATGGATCTCTAATACCTTGGACTTGCTTCTAATATGGTATCACATAGTTTCATCACCGTGATTACTAATGGATGGAGTGATATATTTTATTTCCAAGTATTAATAAAACAGCAAATTATCATAATTGAATAAGAAGGATGCTACATTGCATATTTAATAACGTATATGTGACACTGGACAAGTAAGGATGAATTAATCTCTTGGAATAAACCACCATTGAAAGAGCGTTTCTGTCAAGTAATGTCATTTACTCTCCTTATTAACAAACAGAGCAATTCTGTTGGATCACTTAGCATGGTGAGCTTATTAGGAAAATCACATTGGTTTCAGCAAAAGACTCATGTGACCTTTCTAAATGAAAATAGCATGATGCTAAAAAAAATTGGAGGGAGGACCATCTCTACATACAGAATGGTCTTTGCAATCAACTACCATATTGAGAAAAAACTTTTATTTTTTATGTTTAGAATATAGAAGGGTTTCTGTTTCTCTTTTAATTAAAAGGAACGAAAGTGGTATTTACATTAAATGCAAATAGCACCTTCTTTCCTACAGTGAGTGTTTCTCAGAAATGGACACATTTTCCCTTCTCGGTCTCCAGAAACCCCTTGATCACACCAAAAGAGCAAGTATGGCTTTCTGAAAATAGAAAAATTGTAGGTAGGTTATACTTACAGTCCCTGAATTTTTGCACATATCGTAAAATGGTGACTAGAATTGTTCAAGATGTGTTACTCCGTTACACGTTTACAAAGGGGCTGAAGAGATATAGATGTTGCATTTTATTAATACTAAAGAAGAAACTCAGTTATAGGAAGTAACAGGAAAAATGAATAGTGGTCTGCATAGTAACAATATCATAATACTGTAAAGAAGAAACATTGCACTTGCCATTTAATAATTGAGAAAATCTAGAGTGAATTATTTTGAGTAAGATACACTTACTATTAATTTTTTCTAAAATGTATTTCTCTAACTACATGTTAGTTCAGGTGAAACAAAAAATGAGAATTTAATAAATGTTTATATCTGAAATATAAAATTAATATGTAAATATACCTTCTTTTGAGATGACAGGTGTACATTCTCGGTTGAAAAGTAGGTTTCTATTTTAAATCAAGATTAATGTATAGTTTATGATTAATTTAAAATATAAATGTTATATTTCCTCTCATCCTAGAACAGAATAAAAAGATTTTGAAGGATTTGTATTAATCAAATAAGCTAGAAGCCACGCTTTTCTAGGAAAAATATTAAGAGAAATGTAACCATGCTTGACGCTAGGATGGTGTTACCATCAAACTAAAGCATAATTTCCTCTTTCTGTGACTGTTGAATACTAATTTTTAAACATTAGGAATTGTCTATTATACTTTATTATATCATGACTACTCAATGTTTTGACATGAAATTGTCCCTAATATATTTGCTAATATTTGAAACTAGTTCAAAATTATCTGGCAAGAAATTTGTGGCTTTATCCATATGATGTATAGCATGCTAGCTTGTCTATGCAGAAGGACAATAATTAGACAATTCAGAGAAGGTGATAATATTTATAGCTTATTATAGAAATATATGTAAAGACTTTCTTGATTGTAAACATAAATATTATAAAGTATAACTGAGCTTTTGAGATTATCAGGAAACCAAAGTATCTACAAAATCTAAACTTTCACTCAAACCCATGGTCAGACTGTCAATACTAAATTGAAAAATTAGACTCCTACACAAGTTGTGAAGTTTTTCTTTCTTCATGCATATGATTACAGAAAGGCAGGTATGGATGGCCTAATTTGTGGAATAAATCCAACCACTTTTGTAACAGCTCAGATAACAAAAATCACTAATAGAGAATGTGATATTTTATCAAATTGGCTTTGTTTTTGTTTTTATTGTAGCATTGCATAAGATCAAAGAAGAAAATAAATGATTCAATTAAAGGAAAAATACTGAAAGGCAGGACACAGAAAAAGAGAGTTTTAGATGTGGAATTCTTTTGAGAGATCATCTAGTCTGTTTACAGATATGAAATCTGGGGAAACACAGAGGTGAATTGTCCAAGGCTTTGCAGTTATTGAAGCATCAAAATCATACATATATCCTGCTTCTAAACCTCCCTCTCAGTGTTCTTTTCATCTATGGTTTTAAAATAATCAAGTGGTATTTGTTAAGAAGTTAGAATTTTAAGATATGGATTATATAAATCCGATTTATATGGTCAAGTTTGACTAATATTAGTAAATTTGATTGTTAGCAACATAAACATTTCTGGAGTACCTTTCCTATAAAATACGGATGACAATCTCCTTTAGCATTGTTATTCCGTCTGGGATAAAAAGCACTTCCCACATTTATTTAGAAATGTAATGGATGTGTTCATTTAACTCCAATGATATAATAATTCTCTATTGACTACATTCAGTATAACAGTGATGTTTATTTGGAATTCCCCTTGGACTTCCACTTAGATTTGTTAAATATGAGGTGATTTGAATGACTTAACTAATGACATTTGCTCAATGTCTTAAGTTTTTCTTGATAGTTGGTAAATATCTGTTCATGATCAAGAGTGTTACACCAAGAATTTACTTTCAATAGAGTGCCATAGATATCACTTACTGTGCATTCTCTGTGTTTATGTGTAAACATATAATAGATATTCAAAAGTAATATAACCTCTCCACATTATAAAATAATGCACAAATATAAAGAAGGATAATATATAAGAAAATAAAATGGTGTAATTGCACACGTGAGGTGTTCTATTTTATGTCAAACTATTTCTTAAAATCATTCAAATATCTTTTAGGTTACTAAAGGAGCTTTTGTCATATGAAAATCATATGAATAGACCATCACATTTTGCAATAAGAAGAAAAAAAAATTTAACTCATGAAATCAAAACCTTTATCCAAAACCACCTTTGTTCCTCAATCTTGTCCAAATTTTGGGTTTTTCTAAACAAGTTTTAATAACTCTTATTATTTTATATATTTACCAAAGCAATCAGTCTGTATAAGATTTACATTTTAGCATGCTGTTTTTTCTCTGATTTATTTCTTTCGAATCATCACATCAAATAATAAATCTTAAAGTTGTCAATTAAAATTGATTTCAAATGTTTTGTATCTCCCCACTATTATAAGAACTATATTGTGAAGTCTATATCAAAATATAGGGGGAAAAGCCTAAGGTCGCAAGTGAAAATTTTTTTTCTAAGACACATTCAAAAATTTGCTAACCATTTTTGCATATCTCTAATTTGCCCCAGACCCCAAATTTTAGGATAATGATAAACTTTTAGAATTTGTTAATACAATTTTTATAATTGAATATATCATATCTTTTTTCAAGTCTATGTTTTTTAATAAACCTGAGAGCAAATATTTAAAATCTCTTTTAAAAGCATCCAAATCGTAACAAAAAGAACTGTACAGTGTAAACAATAGTGTATGCTCCAGACAAACAAAGCCTTGTGATGTGAAATAAAGCAAATTTGTGTATAATTAAGCATTACCAGTACTGTTAAAATATAGGTTTATAAACTGGCAAGAATATCGGGAACATATTCTCAGATATTCAAATGCAAAAATGGAAAATATTTCATTTTTAACGGTGAAATTTTCTGCTAACTGTTTACAAAATAATATGTACTTATATATAGAAATGAGTATAAGCTATTTTCTTTTAATGGCTAGTTTCTCATTAAAGGGATCATGACATTAGGCATATTAAGAGTTTAGTTTGGAAACTATTTTAAAATATTAATAAAGAGCTATTGCTAATTAATGATGGGATTTTCCAGTTTTATACATGAATAAATTACTATTAAAATAACAAAAATTGATAACTAAGAATGGGGATTAGAGTTTGAAAAATTTCATTAGTATTTATGGATTTATTGGTTTCCCTCATTAGAGACTAGATGACCATCAGAGACGGTGATATTTTTACTTCATAACCGCTTATACCTGTTGTAAAATATCGAGAGGCCATCAGAATTTTGTCACTTAGAGAAGGGACTGGAAATTTTTTTAGGTATTCTTTTGCCAAGCATACTTGCTCTATTTAATGGATGAGAAGTAAAGCTAGACAGATTTTCTTCAGTTAAACTTTCAATATCTCCACAGTCTACAGTACATTAAAATTCACTCATTGAAATTTTTTTGTTTGACTCTATAATGATAAATGTATCTATTTTTAGCATTAATAAAATGGATGAAGCTTTAACTCTATAATAAATTCTTCCACTTTAAATTCTATACAGCTTGTCTTTCCCTGATTCTCTAGTTCTATTAAATTAGTAGAAGTAGTTCGTGTCTTCATAATCAATTGTTATCAAGAACTAATATGTCTAAATAAACCTGTAGATAAATGTCCATTCATTATTCTTGGTCCATACCAAAGTTCCAATTATTATTTGCAGTATGTACCTGACATATACATACTAAAATGGGTTCAAGTATAGTTTCTCAATAGGAGGTGGATCCTTTTATTGATACATAATAGTTGTACATATTTTGAGGTCACATAAGATTTTGCTGTGTTTATGTAATGTATAATGATCAAATCAGGATAATTGGGATACTCATCACCTCAAACCCTTAGGAGATGGATACTCTCTTGATGTTCGATATTTTTAGTTTTACTTTGATTTTATTTTTGTCATGGCCTCATTTCAAACTGACTCATAATCCAGAATTATCCAACTAAATCATAACAGAAAGTATTATTGGCTAAAGTGAATCAAGAAAAAATTTAGCATTGTTGCTGTCATATACAAACATGTAAGAAGTTTCTTTCACATTTTAAATATAAATATAAATGACTGATTCTGGGTTTTTCCCTTATGAGGAAATACCTAAGCAACATTAAGCTAAGCAAATAAATGGTTATTTGTGTGATGATCTTCTAAATGTGTGTGTATGTATATATTGCTTTAATAAAAATTTCAGATGGTATATCATTTTTTAAGTAGCGAAATTATCATAGTGACTTGTGAATAGCAAAATGCAAACCAATGTGGCATTGGATCCTCTCCAGGATGTGATGAGTCACCTGTCACCCCCCCCATTCAACCCCAAATCCCCTACATTCTCAGGGAGGACTAGTTCTTCCTAAGGCTAACATGAATGCCACATGTTTTAAAGCAAAGAATGTAGAACATCAAGTTTTAAATGTCATGTCCATTAATGAGATTAGTTAACTGTCCCTTTGCAAGTTCAAGGAACAAAGAAAGCCCTGTGGAGAGCAGAGAGAAGACAGATAGGTGGCTGTTAATGATAAGAGGCAAAATTTGGTAAAGGGAAGGCAACTTAAGCTAAAGGAAGTGAGTGAGGTGGATAGACCCCACTAAAAGACAAAAGGAGATAGTACTTAAGAAAAAAATCTGTCAGTATCTCTCTCTGGTAGCTGCCTTGTTTTTGTTTTGTTTTATTTTTGTTTGTTTTATGCTTTCCTGTAAATCATCTCAAAATATCTGACTGTAGCTTCCTCTTTCACTCATTTCATTCTGTAAATTGTTTCTCAATACCATGCCTCTTGAACACGAGAAAACGCTGTTTCTAGCTTCATCTTCAAGATATTTATTTCCATTTGTAAAAAGAAAGCTGAAACATTTTTATAGGCTACCTCAGAGATTATATACTAACATTTTAGTAACATGTTCTAAATGCTTGAGTAGTTTAAGTATTGACATAAAATTGCTTTCTATTTCAGTTGGAATTGTTTGAATCCTCAGTAAATGTAAACTATTGTAGCTCTAAGGGTATCCCCAACTAGAAAGTTCTTATTTCACACATTAACATTTGCTGCTTTCTTCACAAGTTAAACTAAACATATTTTCCTTATTTATTTATTTCACTGGAATTCCTTTAAGACATTATTTTCTCAAGATGTGGCCCACAAGCCACCTGCACTGCCAACCACAGGTTTTCTCAGTTGGTATCTCTGGGGAGAAGAATCCCTTGATAGTATAAAAAATATCCAATATACCATTATATTAAAAAACTAGATTGGTCATATATCTACTGCATATAACACTGATGGTCATATATCTATTGCATGTAACACTATATACCTGAATACCAGATAAATGTAGCTCGGGAAAAAAGGTGAATTATTTCATGTAGCAAGGAGTGCAGAGGTAGCTTTTCTGTCATTGGTTTAGGCATCTCAATTTCACTCCATTCCAGGCAGTCCCTGGCAGAAAAAGAACAGGATCAACATGATTAGCCTGGCCAATCATGATTTGTTCTTTGGGATGAGTACATTGCTTGTGCACAGTCTCCCTTGATACCCGAATGGAATTGGAGTTCTGTTGACAAAGAGGAGGAAACTGGATGGGCAGGTCTAGAGTTTATCTGGAATTTGAATTGTGCATTTTTAGACATAGAGAAAGAAATGCATTTTTAGACATAGACAAAGAAATAAGTAGGTTTTATTATAGTACGCACTAACTTAGGTCAGTTTCTATGTTTCTGTGACTTTCTTAATCTTACATAATTACCTTTATCTTATTAATTAATTAATTTTTATTTTTGCTACATGAATAAATACATTCAAGAGGGCACACAATAAAATATAGTAATATATAATTCCAAAGTACGGGCTCAGCAAGTAGAAAAAATAAACACCATGATTTGAAAGCATTGATGTAAAACTTGATCTTTACCATTGCTAATTAGTCAGCCAGAAAATATATATAGGAAATGGCTTAGCCCTACATATAAAATGTGATTCTCATTCTTAGGGTTATCTATGCATCTTTTATCTGGTACTACTTTTTATATCTCAATATTTGACATCTTTTTTGCCCCATTTCAAAATATAAATTTATTTATTTTCTTTACAACTGCATTCCTCTGCACAAATAAAAAATATATAATTTAGAATATATAGTAGAGTTTTGATAATTATATTTATATTTTAAATGGTTTTGATATGAATAGTTACTTCTATTCTCCACCTGTTTAACAAATTTGATATTTGGAGGCAAATTTCCATATATTTGAATAAATATGATAGTTAAGAAAGCATTACTTTCTATTTGCCAAAACTTACCTTGAATTAAAAATAGACAATACGTATTTATATATGTGTTTGTATATATGTATATATGTTTGTGATTTGTAATGGTTTTGTATATGTGTGTCTTCTAATACAAGGGTCCCCAACCCCTGGGCCAAGGACCGGTACTGGTCTGTGGCCTGTTAGGAACCCAGCTGCACAGCAGGAGGTGAGCAGAAGGTGAGCAAACATTACTGCCTGAGCTCTGCCTCCTGTCATATCAGTGGCAGCATTAGATTCTCATAGGAGAGCCAACCCTACTGTGAACTGCGCATGTGAGGG
Organism: Homo sapiens; assembly: GCF_000001405.40. NCBI lineage: Eukaryota > Metazoa > Chordata > Mammalia > Primates > Hominidae > Homo > Homo sapiens. The sequence continues at coordinate 33,250,336 of NC_000023.11, read as the reverse complement.
AAATAAGTTGCAGGCTCCTTATATGAATCTAATGCCTAATGAGCTGAGGTGGAACAGTTTCAACCCCAAACCACAACCCCTATACCCCCAGATTTTCACCTCCCCCAAACCCCTGTCTGTGGAATAATTGTCTTCCACAAAACTGTTCCCTAGTGCCAAAAAGGTTGGGGACCACTGTTCTAATACACACATACACACACATACATACATACAAGTGTACATTGATATATATATATATATATATATATATAATGAATAGTTTACTACTATGTGGGCTATTATACAGAACTGAAAAAAGAACCACAACAACACAAAACAATATCGATGAATGTTAGCAGTATAATATCCAAAGAAAAAAATAAATCCAACATTATAATTCAAAAAACCCAATATTAAATCCAATAAATTTAATAAAAATGTCAGATGGTGCATTCTCTGAGTACAGTATCCCTTGATACCTGAATGGAACATACTACATGGTAAATATCATCTCCATAAAGCCAAACATATTGAAAATAAAATTTTAGTCTTTAGGAATAATATGTGTGTGTTTAATAAACATATAAAAAGAAAAGAAATGATGAAGAAATTATTCAAAACTGTGTTACTTCATTTGGGGAGAGGTAGGGAATGTTTGCAAAAGTGCAACATGATTGGACATAGGTTATTTTCAATTCCTTGCATTTTTGCAGGAGTAAGGAGTGTTTGCAGCTGTTTCCTACGTTGTTAAAAATGGGCAGGCCAAGAGTGCAATGTATCTTTAACATAATGTCGTAAGTAATATCCCAATCAAATCAAATTTATGTAAGTATGTCTTATGAAGTAAATGCAATAATGATATGGGGAGCATAAATGCTACATAATTTGAATTTAAATGAGAGCAATTGGCCAGGCATGGTGGCTCATGCCTGTAATACCAGCACTTTGGGAGGCCAAGGTGGGCAGATCACCTAAGGTCAGGAGTTCGAGACCAGCCTGGCCAACGTGGTGAAACCCGGTCTCTACTGAAAATACAAAAATTAGCCAGGTGTGGTGGCAGATGCCTGTCATCCCAGCTACTAGGGAGGCTGAGGCAGGAGAATGGCTTGAACCCAGGAGGTGGAGGTCGCAATGAGCCGAGATTGTGCCATTGCACTCCAGCCTGGGCAACAAGAGCAAAACTCCATCTCAAAAATAAATAAATAAAAATAAATAAATTTGAGCGATAATAAAGGGTGGTTATTTGGGCTTTGTATGGAAAGTTACTTATTTTCATACAGCTTTCTATACATACAAATTTCTGTCAATAACAAGATTGAAGAAACATAGAGTAATAAATACAACCCTCTGCATTCTGCAATTTTCCTAATTCAAAGTTACATTTTCACATGCTGAATTGCATTTATTGGCTTTATGTTTAATACTAAGCTTGGCACATACTATATACCAAAAATAATTTTAATTTTCAAATTGTTGATTTTTTAAGTTGTTGCCAATGATTTATCTAATTTGCTCATGATTCTGGATCAATCATTTCTGGGTTGTTTCAGCAAATCGTTAAGAACATATCTAAATTAGAGTTATATATTATTATGTATAGCTGTATCATTTACTGAGGAATTACTAACAATACTTTTCATTTTCTAGATAAAATTCAATTGATAGGATAATTTTCTCTTCCTCTGGTAATTATGCCATAAATAAGCATACTTCTAACATTTATTCCTGTGAAAGATGGAGAGTATTTTTTAATAACTACATTCATGAATGTCACTTTCTAATTTTCAGAGTTTCTGGTCTGTAAAAAAATGACAATTAGTTTTACTAAAAATAAAATGTGAGAATAAAAATGGGTGAAAAAATAAAATAGAGCACACAACATACTCCTATCTGTGAAACTTGTTTTTAAAACAAAAATAAAATAATGATAATTTCCTCATAGAAAAAAATGGAAAATTAGGATTTTTAGGTGAAAAATTAAAAGTTAATTTTCTTAGAAAATATTATTTATTCTCGCGGCCAGGCGCAGTGGCTCACGCCTGTAATCCCAGCACTTTGGGAGGCTGAGGTGGGCGGATCATGAGGTCAGGAGATCGAGACCATCCTGGCTAACACGGTGAAACCACGTCTATACTAAAAATACAAAAAATTAGTCAGGCGTGGTGGCGGGTGCCTGTAGTCGCAGCTACTGGGGAGGCTGAGGCAGGAGAATGGTGTGAACCCGGGAGGCGGAGCTTACAGTGAGCTGAGATCGCGCCACCGCACTCCAGCCTGGGCCACAGAGCGAGGCTCCATCTCAAAAAAATAAATAAGTAAATAAATAAATAAATACAATAAAATATTATTTATTCTCCATTATGAGCATGAGTCTTACAGTATGGCAATCACTTGTATTTATACAGAATGGACATAAAAATGAATATTTTGAATAACCAACTTAATTTGAGAGTAAATTTTGATATAACTTGTCATAGTTATGTAAATTATTTTAGGGTAGTTGATAATTGTGTTCTATGAATTAAATTCAACTATCATGCAACCCAGTCTTAATTTACCAACATAAAAATGCTTATAGCATTTGTTAGTTAATAAATATACTTCATTTGCATCTACAGCTGTGCATAAAATCACTATTCAGGATGAGTCACATATATTTTTAAATATCTATCACAAGTAGTTAGTGCAAATAACTTAAAACAAAATATATTTTCTGAATTAGAGTCTATGAGAAATTTTAGCCACATTAAGTAGACCAATTTGGGATTAAATAACAATAACAACAATGATAATAATAATTTATCCATTGAATGATATTTACAATTGGTTTTATAGTAGAACAACTATAAGATACAATTTTCAATACACTTCTCATTCTTCTAAACATATGGAGTACAGAAGTTAAATATATTCTAGGAATTGTACTAACAGAGTATTTTATATTTCAATCTCAAAAATTAAAAATATTTCCCCAAAGCTAAATATGATAAATTTTCAATAGGCAAATTGAATGAACATGTATTTGCTACTAAATTTTAAGAATATAAGAAACAAAATATATAAGAAAATTCAGGTTATCTGTTACATTGTAATGCTTGTAATGGATGTGACGGATAGGATTTTGGTTAGTTTATCAACCCCTGGCTGTCTTACTTAAAGGACTGATTCGGAATATAAAAGTTTAACTACATGTGATGTGACTTGAGTATTGCTCCCAAGCTACCTTTAACTGGACTCAAGGAAGAAGAAACCATATTCAACTAAAATTGATAAAAGTTCATTTTCAATGTAGAATAATTCATTTATCATTCAGTGTTCTTGAAGCAGTTTAAGGCTTTGTTTAAGTACTAAAACAGAGTTTGAAGACCGAGATAATTGGCCGGGCATGGTGGCTCATGCCCGTAATGCCAGCACTTTGGGAAGCTGAGGTGGGCAGATCATGAGGTCAGGAGTTCGAGACCAGCCTGACAAGCATGGTGAAGCCCCGTCTCTACTAAAACTACAAAAATTAGCTGGGGGTGGTGGTGTGCGCCTGTAATCCCAGCTATTCAGGAGGCTGAGGCAGGAGAGTCTCTTGAACCCGGAAGGTGGACGTTGCAGTGAGCTGAGGTCGCGCCACCACACTCCAGCCTGGGCAACAGAGCGAGATTCCATCTCAAAAAAACAAAACAAAACAAACAAACAAGCAAAAAAAACCAAAAATGAAATAATTTCTCTAATTTCATTTAATGCCTGAGAGAATGATTCTTATGTATAAATTTTTAAATGGCTACTTATAGACATTGATACAATTATACTTTATTCTGTTCATCAGTGTCCTAAATTGTCAAGTAACAGAATTCACTATCTCTAGGGTAAACAGTAAGGGCCACACTAAAGATAATATCAAAGACTCTTGGGGAGCAGAAGAATTAGAAATGGTGGCAAAGAGCTAGGAGCAACATTAGAAACACAACACAGCCAGGAAGGCAACGATATCACTGGAACTGTATAAATGAAACAACTCTGTTGCCACTGTTAGCTTGTTGACCCTGATGATGCTGAGGACTAGATGGCAGAATGGTCACCACAGCAACCCCAGGGAGGCCCAGGTGTGTTCTGCACTGGCCAGATTAGACTAAATGCTCACTGCCTCAGGCTGTTTAGTACTGTATCTTAATATCACATCAGGACATTTGATCAGTGAAACAAGTTTCTCAGATATTCCACCTTGAAAAAGCAGGATTCATAATTGAGCATCTATCAAATGTAATGTACGTATTTAAAAACGATTAGGTCACAACCAATGGGGATATGTACTACATTTCATTAACATATATTGAATACTAGTTCAAATACTTCTAACATTAATTCCTAGAGTATTAATGTAACATGTCAGTATGGAAAAAAATTCCTTCATGAACCCTGAAATTAAAGAGTCTACAGTTTCAGTTTTGTAGTGTTCCTAGTTACAGAAGCTAGATTTTTATTTTTTTACAGGAAAATACATTAGGTTTTGGGTACAACATAGATCATATTGTTATTCAGTTTTCATTCTGTTCTTAATGGATTACAAAAATATGTTCAGTTTAGCAAATTTTTCTTTAAAAATGTGGAATCATGCAAAACTCATCAACAAAGTTGTAAATTTACAAGTATTACTTCTATGATACAAAGTAGAGTCTACTGACTATTTAGAAGTAGCCACTGCATTCATTTAAACTGAGATTCTAGCACTTCATGCAATTCTGTTAAAATTCATAGTTGTTTTGGCCAGCCAGTTCTCTAGACTGAGGCCCATACTTGGACTTCATCACAAATCATTCATAACTTCAGCAGAACAAGACAACAACACAGAATAGATCTAGTTCACCTTCTAAATTTTCCTTTTATTTTTTGGTAAGTGAATAATGGAAAAATTATAGGTTTAGTGACTGATTATTAACAAAGAACATAAATAAATGCAACATATGTAGTTTTATTAATTTCATCAGTTTTGACTATTCAGAGTGAGTGTTTCTATTCACTTTCCAATTAACTCCCAGCTTTTTCCTAAGAATGATATTTCGGGTAGTGATTTTTCTTTTTTTTTTTTTACTTTTCAGAGCCCTGAAAAAATAGCCATTAACAGTTACTTTAACTATCAGTACAATGTATAATAAACTAGTCTTATTGAAATGCATTAGTTTAAAACAATACTGAAGGAGCAAAAATGTCTATATTTAAAACCTCACTCCAGATAAACAGACTTCTGTTGTAATAAAAGTTAAGCTAGCTTATTTTATGTTTAAAAATATGGATTAAATCATGAACAGGAAGGAAGTCACATATTTGAAAATGAAATATACAAATGATGTGCTTTTTTAAGTGGTAGCAGGAAGAATATGCCAAAAAGTTGTGTTTAACCCATTTCTCATGATACACTTAGAAAAGTTATTTAACTCACAAATAAATGCTGATAATTTGTTTCAAAAGCATTTTATGCATGACTTGAAGACACTAGGGCTTGTCAATATATATTAATTGTATAGCAAGTTATAAAATGAAGCTTCATTGAATTCTATTAGGTCACATCAAAATACACTCCTACCAGATAAATTCTTCCATTTCGTTTTGTTTCTATGGCATTTGGGAAGCTCAGCTGTGCTCAAGAAACTCTGTTCCTGTAAACAGGTTAGATATTAATGTCTTCTTTATTAGTCTTCAAGAGAAGTAAATCTGAGACCTTGCCTACTCAGTTAAAAAACTACGAATCAAATCAAACAATTTATTCACAATTGACCATTTCGGGGAAAATCAAACCAAGCAAAAGGATCATTTGAAATCAAATAACTAAACTTGCAAACTCAGAGTAGAAATAGCTTGAGTTGAACTCAGCCTTAAAAATATTTATTTTACTTTTTTGTTATGTACTTGTATTTGACCAAGCTAACCTGATACCATCCTTATATAGTTCTGAGCAAACTGGTATAGATATCCATTTACTTTTTTCAGATTTTATCGTAATCATATTGTTTTCGGAATCCTTTAAAATTATATAAAAAGCAGCAACACTTTAATTTTGCTGACTTTCTCACTTATTAATAAGATCCAACTTATATAATCAGCTGTCTATACCAGTGGTTGACAGAAGTATGGCATTTTCTTCAATAAAGCAAGAATTATACTGGATGGGGAAAAGTTGAAAGCTTTTCCTCTAAGATCTGGCACAAGACGAGGATACTCACTGTCTCCACTTCTATTCAACACAGTCCTGGAAGTAATTAGGCAAGAAGAATAAACAAAAGGCATCCAAATAGGAAAAAAAGAAGTTAAGTTATCCCTGTGTGCCGATGACATAATGTTATAGAACCCCTATTTTTATTTTTAAAAATGTTATTTGTATATATTTAAGGAATACAAGTGTAATTTTATTTTAGGGCATTCATCACCTGAATAATATGCATTGTACACATTAAGTAATTTCTCATCATACAACCCCCTCCCATGCCTCCACCCTTCTGATTCCCCATTGTCAATCATTCCACACTCTACTTTCAAATGTACACATTATTTTGCTCCCACATGTAAGTGAGAACATGCAGTATTTGTCTTTCAGTGTCTGAATTGTTTCACTTAAGATAATGGCCTCCGGTTCCATCCATGTTGTTGCAAAAGACATGATTTTATTCCTTTTGTGGCTAAATAATGTTTTATTGTGTATATATACCACATTTTCCTCATCCAATCAACTTAAGTAAATTCTATATATTTGCTATTGTGAATAGTGCTGCAGTAAACATATGAGTGAGGTATCTTTTTAATATAATTATTTCTTTTCATTTGGGTAGATACCCAGTTGTGAGAATACTATATCAAATGGTAGCTCTATTTTTAATTCTTAGAGAAATCTCCATTCTATTTTTCATAGATGTACTAATTTACATTGTCACCAACCGTATTTAAGCATTGTCTTTTCTCCATATCCTTGCCAACATGTGGAGATTTTTTTGTTTATTTGTTTTTTAATAATAGCCATTTTGACTGGTGTAAAAAATTCCACCAAAAACTGTTAGAAATAATAAACAAATTCAGTAAAATTGCAGGATACAAAATCAACATATCAGTAGCATTCCCATAGCAATCTATCTGAAAAAGAAATCCAGACCTGAAACTATAAAAATTCTAGAAGATAACATTGGAAAAACCCTTCTAGACATTGGCTTAGGCAAGGATTTCATGACCAAGAACCCAAAAGCAAATGCAGTAAAAACAAAGATAAATAGCTGGGGCCTAATGAAACTAAAGAGCTTTTGCAGGGCAAAAGGAACAGTCAGCAGAGTAAACAAACAGACAACACACAGAGCGGTAGAAAATCTTCACAATCTATACATCTGACAGAGGACTAATATCCAGAATCTACAATGAACACAAACAAATCAGTAAGAAGGAAACAAACAATCCCATCAAAAAGTGTTCTAAGGATATGAATAGACAATTCCCTAAAGAAGATCTACAGATGGCCAACAAACATATGAAAAAATGCTCAACATCACTAATGATCAGGGAAATGCAAATCAAAACCACGATGTGATACCACCTTACTCCTGCAAGAATGGCCATAATCAAAAAATCAAAAAACGGTAGATGTTGGCATGGATGTGGTGATCAGGGAACACTTCTACACTGCTGGTGGGGATGTAGACTAGTATACAACCGCTATGGAAAACAGTGTGGAGATTCCTTAAATAACTAAAAGTAGAACTACCATTTGATTCAGCAATCCCACTACCAGATATCTACCCAGACAAAAATAAGTTATTATATGTAAAAGATACTTGCACACACAAGTTTACAGCAACACAAAGCGCAATTGCAAAATCGTGGAACCAACCCAAAGGCCCATCAATCAACGAGTGGATAAAGAGAAACTGTGGTATAACTGTGGCCACAAAAAGGAAGAAATTAACAGCATTTGCAGTGACCTGGATGAGATTGGAGACTATTATTCTAAGTGAAGTAACTCAGGAATGGAAAACCAAACATCGTGTGTTCTCACTGATATGTAGGAGATAAGCTATAAGAACACAAAGGCATAAGAATAATACAATGGACTTTGGGGACTTGGGGAGAAGAGTTGGGGGAGGCAAGGGATAAAAGACTACAAATACGGTGCTGTGTATACTGCTTGGGTGATGGGTGCACCAAAATCTCACAAATCACCACTAAAGAACTTAGTCATGCAATCAAATACCACCTGTACCCCAATAACTTAGGGAAAATAAAAAATAAATTTTTAAAAAATCCCATTTACAATAGCTACAAAAAATACTTAGGAACTGGCCGGGCACGGTGGCTCACGCCTGTAATCCCATCACTTTGGGAGGCCGAGGTTGGCGGATCACCTGAGGTCAGGAGTTTGAAACCAGACTGACCAACGTGGTGAAGCCCTGTCTCTACTAAAAATACAAAAATTAGCCTAATGTGGAGGCACACACCTGTAATCCCAGCTACCTGGGTGGCCGAGGCATGAGAATCGCTGGAATCCAGGAGGCAGAGGTTGCAGTGAGCAGAGATCATGACACTGCACTCCAGACTGGGCGACAGAGCAAGACTCTGTCCTCTGTCCACCCGCCCCCACAAAAAAAGGAATAAATTTAACCAAAGAAGTGAAAGACCTGGAAACTGTAAGACATTGATGAAAGCAATTGAAGAAGCCACAAATAAATGGAAAGGTATTCTGTGTTCATGTATTGGAAGAATTAATATTGTTAAAATTCCTACACTACCCAAAGCTTTCTACAGTCAATGCAATCTTTATCAAAACACCAGTGACATTTTTTACAGAAATTGGAACCACAAAAGAGCTTGAAGACCCAAAATAATGTTGAGCAAAAAGAACAAAACTGGTGTCATCACACTACTTGACACCAAAATATACTACAAAGCTATGGTAACCAAAACAGATGGTGCTGGCATAAAAACAGACACATAGACCAATGGAATAAAACAGAGGCCAGAAATAAATCCACAGAATTATAGCCAGCTGATTTTCAACAATGGTACCAGGTATATCCAATGCGAAAAGAACAATCTTCTCAATAAATGGTGCTGGAAAAAATAGATATCCACATGCAGAAAAAATTAGACCCTTATATCAGACCATGTACAAAAATTAACTCATAATGGATTAAAGGCATAAACGTAAGACCTGAAACTATAAGACTACCAGAAGGAAACATAAGGGAAGTCTCCATGACTATGATCTGGGCAAAAATTTTCTGGATATGACCTCAAAAGCACAGGAAACAAAACCAAATATAGACAAATGGGATTACATCAAACTCAAAAAGTTCTGCACAGTAAAGGAAAGAATCAACAGAGTGAAGAGAAAACCTACAGAATGGGATGAAATATTTGTACACCATACATCTTATAAGGGGTTAGTAGCCAAAATAGATCAGTAACTCAAACAAATAAATAGCAAGAAAACAAATAACCCAATTAAAAATGAGCAAAAGATCTGAGCAGGCATTTCTCAAGAGAAGACATTCACATAGCCAACAGGAATACGAAAACATGTTCAGCATCATTAAACATCAGGTAAATGTAAATAAATCCACAGTGAGATATCAACTCAAACCTGTTAGAATGACATCAAGAAGGCAAAAGATAACAAGTGTTCCTGAGAAGGTAGAGAAAAGGGAACCCTTGCACACCGTTGGTGGGAATGTGAATTAATATAACCATTATTGAAAACAGTAGGGGCTTTCTCAAAAAAATTAAAACTAGAACTAACATATGATCCAGCAGTCCCACTACTGGCTATATACCGAAAGGAAATGAAATCAACACGTTGAAGAGATATCTGCACACCCAAGTTTATTGCAGCACATTCACAATTGCTGAGATATGGAATCAACCTAAGGGTCCATCAACTGGTGAATGAATAAAAGAAAAAATGTGGTATACGTACACAATAGAATACTGTTCATCCATGAAGAGAATGAAACCTGCCATTTGCAGCAACATGAATGAACCTGGAGGATATTAAGTTAAATAAGCCAGGCAGAGAAAGAAAAAATACCACGTTATCTTACTTTATGCGGAATCTGAAAAGGTTGATTTTAAAGTAGAGAATAAAATGTTGGTTACCAGAAGGTGAGGTAGTTAAGAGAGAGGGAGGATTATGAAGATAACGGTTAAATAATACATATTTACAGTTAGATATGAGAAATAAAATCAAGAGATCTATTGTACAATATGGTGACTATAGTTAATGATGATACGGATTGAGTATTCCTTATCCAAAATGCTTGGGACCTGAAGTGTTTCAGATTTGGGATTTTATGGAATGCTTACATATACATAATAAGGTATCTTGGGCATGGGACCCAAGACTAAACACAAATTCACTTATGTTTTCCTGCACTTTATACACGTAACTTTGAGGTAATTTTATACAGTATTTTTAGCAGTTTTGTGCTTGAAAAAAAGTTTGCATTAAATACTTATATGTCCAATTTTCCACGTATGACATCATTTCAGTGCTCAAAAAGTTTCAGATTTTGGAGCATTTCAGAGTGTGTATTTTTGGATTAGGGATGCTCAACCTAATTTTTTTCAAATGAAAAATACTAAGAGAGTGGATGTTAAATGATAACATGTGAGGGAATGCATTTGTTAATTAGCTAGATTTAACCATATCACAATGTATATGTACTTCAAACCATCATGTTGAACACAATAAATACATACAATTCTCTATGTTCATTTAAAAAATAAGCTTGAAAACAAGAATTTTACAAGTTTGATTTTGATTCTGGATTTTTTTAACTTAGATGCAGACATATTATCTGATCAGGGCGAACAGAATTTAGCAAATCATTATAAAATCTTTTTGAAAGTAATAAAGGAATAAGTAAAGGTATTGCCCTCCTTTTTTTTCCTTAGGAAATGTTTAGATTGGTCCTTAGCTTTGTTTCTTGTTACACCTGTAGAATATAGCTGTTGCATACATAACTGTGTCTAAATAATCTGGGGTTCTTGTTAAATTTTAGAGTCTGTTTCAGTAGGTTTGGAATGTGCCTGACATTCGACATTTTTTTTTTTTTTTTTTTTTTTTTTTGGAGACAGAGTCTTGCTCTGTCACCCAGGCTGGAGTTCAGTGGTGGCTGGAGTGCAGTGGTGGGATCTCGGCTCACTGCAACCTCCACCTCCGGGGTTCAAGTGATTCTCCTGCCTCAGCCCCCAGAGTAGCTGGGATTACAGGCGCCCACCACCACACCCAGCTAATTTTTGTATTTTTAGTAGAGACGGTGTTTCACCATGTTGGCCAGGCTGGTCTCGAACTCCTGACCTCAAGTGATCTAACCCCCTCAGCCTCCCAAAGTTCTGGGATTACAAGTGTGAGCCACCACACCCGGCCAGTATTCAACATCTTACTTAACAAGCTCATATATAACGGCGATGCTGTTAATTGGTAAGTAGCAAGGGTGCATGCAGGCAAAGTTTTCTCAGTATTGATGGAAGCCCTCACTTAAACCTAGATAGCATTTAATAATTTGGGTTATTGGTGTCCTATCCTTTACTTAGCAGATTTTTAACATGTCATCTGGTAACCATGGTAAAGATTATGATACTAAAAGCATATGTTTTAGGGTTTAACGTCACAGGACTTTAAAATCTCGGTTATAGCTTTGGACAAAAAACTTACTAAATCTCAGTTTTCTTATCTGCAAAATGTGAATAATTCTACTTACACAATACTGTGTTAATGGTTTATTCAATCACAAAAAGCATCTAAAATGCCCCACAATTATCATGTGAATTTAGAAATACTAGATTCCTTCTACACATCTACACACAGACACACACATTAACACACACACACATACACACACAAACAGGGGGGAGAGAGGGTGCTGTATAAGGAATCCACAAGATATGCAAAATGAATCTGGTATTTCTAAATATGCATGATATTTGTGGGGCAGTTTAGATGCTTCTTGTGTTTTAATAAACCATCAACCCAGTATTATGTAGGTATTATCACTTGTGTGTGTGTGAATATTCAGACACATCTTTTTTCAACATCTTCAATGCTGGAGCATTGTGTGAGCTAGAACCCAGCTAAGAGAGGGAGGTCTTCAAAGTTGTAAAACATATGTGCTCAAGTGAGTACAGGCATCAAAATGAATTCAAGAGTACCCTTTAAAATGCTGCATGTCATATACCTGGTTATGGCTTTTGGGAAAAATTCTAATTTAGATCCCTTTCCAAGTGGCACACCATAGTGCTTTGCAAATGATAGACTCAAGAAGGAATAAATGTATTCCGGCTGAAAGTTTTGTCATGGGACAATTTTATGTTACATAAATGGAAATTCATTTGGAAGTGACAGGGAGGTTAATTTTAAATCAATTCAAAAGCTATGAATCCCTTTTGGCAACTATTATGTTTAGTTTAAAAGAACTCTGTAGGCTTATTATAGATACCATGTTAAGCTTTTGTTGTGCACGTATATGGGTGTGTAGTTCACATTCTCAGTTTTTATTACTAAATTTTTCAATACAAAAATTAATTCATTTTAATTGACAATCAAGTACAAGATATATCAAAATCGAGCAATACATATTTTCATTTTGTATGAAATGTGATGTATATCGTGAAAAAATTTTAAATGAGAACAGTAAGGTTTTCTATATTTTTAATATATCCGTGCCCACTTCACAAATAGAAATGAAATGCCATAATCTTCATGTATGAGAAATATTAAGTTCATTCCTATATTCAGTTGCTATTGCCCAGTGGTATGAAAGTCCTACCTCAAAAAGGTGTAGCCAAAGAAAGATAACTGGCGGGGCACTGTGGCTCGTGCCTGTAATCCCAGCATTTTGGGAAGCCAAGGTGAGTGGATCACTTGAGGTCAGGAGTTCAAGTCCAGCCTGACCAACATGGTGAAACTCTGTCTCTACTAAAAAAATACAAAATTAGCCGGGCGTGGTGGCACACGCCTGTAATCTCAGCTACTTGGGAGGCTGAGGCAGAAGAATCGCTTGAACCTGGAAGGCACAGGTTGCAGTGAGCCGAGATCGCGCCATTGTACTCCAGCCTGGGCAACAAGAGTGAAACTCCATTTCAAAAAAAAAAGAGAGAAAGAAAAAGAAAGAGGGAGGGAGGGAGGGAAGGAAGGGAGGAAGGGAGGGAAGGAGGGAGGAAGGGGAGGGAGGGAGGGAGGAAACCAATGGCGTGCGTTTTATATTATTTGGAAACCTTATATTTGACTCCTCTAAAATTCAGAAATGGTTTTATATTGTACAACCGTTTCCCTCAAATATTTGGTAATGGGGCTGACATAGTCTATCCTTACTTCAAAGTAGTCTGGGTTTTTGCTCGCTGGATGCATGAACATGTTGAGATATTTAATCACTACTTCTTGTGTCACACTTCCCTCTGTCACAGTTGGATGGGGAATGAGCTGATAAAATATACATAATTAATAGATAAGGTACATTGAATAATATTACAAATACATGTAACTGGAAGAACAATAACACTACCACCCGGTCCTTCCCCACTAGCCTCACCATTTGGGAGTTTTTGCTAGGAGAGAAAAGTGGTTAATCCTCACTAGCTTCTCACCTCAGAGATTACAGATCATTCTGCCCTGGTGTTTGATAAGGCCTCCAAAATAAAGCAAAAAGCTTCTGCCAGCTTTTTGTGTAGGCAAAGTGTAGTCATCTTTGTGGTAGGTGGTTCTGTAAAGGACCTGCTATTTACGCCTCTGTTCCCCACCACACCCCACACCCAGGAAACAACTTGAAAGAGGAAGGAGAGTCCGGACGCGGTGGCTCACACCTGTAATCCCAGAAGTTTGGGAGGCCAAGTTGGGTGGGTCACTTGAGATCAGGAGTTCAAGACCAGCCTGGCCAACATGGTGAAACCCCATCTGTACTAAAAATACAACAATTAGCTGGGTGTGGTGGTGCATGCCTGTAATCCCAGCTACTTGAGAGGCTGAGGCAGGAGAATCACTAGAACCTGGAAGGCTGAGGTTGCAGTGAGCCGAGATCGCGCCATTGCACTCCAGCCTAGGTGACAAGAGGGAAACTTTGTCAAAAAAAAAGAAAAAAAAAAAGGAAGGAGAAGCCAAATATTGGCACTCGTTTTGCTTAATACTATAACGGACAGGCGCAGTGGCTCACACCTGTAATCCCAGCACTTTGGGAGGCCGAGGCGGGCGGATCACGAGGTCATGAGATCGAGACCATCCTGGCTAACAAGGTGAAACCCCATCTCTACTAAAAATACAAAAAAATTAGCCGGGCGTGGTGGCAGGTGCCTGTGGTCCCAGCTACTCAGGAGGCAGAGGCAGGAGAATGGCATGAACCCGGGAGGCGGAGCTTGCAGTGAGCCGAGATCGCGCCACTGCACTCCAGCCTGGACGACTGAGCCAGATTCCGTCTCATAAAAAAAAAAAAAAATAATAATAATAATAATAATATAAGTTGGCCAGCTTGGCAAGTTTTGCAAACTTTGGAAAATGTTTCTCTTCCTCACTATGAATTAGATTAGGCTGTCCTTGCTAATTAATGGGGACCCATGGGAGATGGCGCTAATCTGGGAGGAGCAGATTATATTCTAAGGGTACAGGCTCTTGGATCAGGCTATCTGGGATTAAATCTACCATTGACTAGCTGTGTGACCTTGAGCAACCTTGAGGTTGCTAGGTGTGTATCACCTCTGAGACTCGATTGTGACATCTATAAAATGTTGATAAAATAAGTCCCTAAATGATTAAACTGTTGTGAAAACTATATTGCTGTATGTCATTGAATCTAAGAAATAATAAATTGCAAGATAGACCATTGTTGTGTGTAGGACTAACAAATTAAAAAACAGGATACCCCTAAACGCTATACACTAATGATTTTAAGACATATTGATTTTAGAAATGTTAAAATGTGAAATGTCATCTCAGAATCAATTAAATACAGTAGTTAATTCTGATGAGTTGCTTAGATCAATACTTGGCATATAGTAAATGATCAATGTTTCCTATTATGGGGTGGAATTTCCCTGAAGGAAGGCAGTCATTTCTAGCTTGAAAATGGAGGCCTTTTAGAAAGGAAGCCCATAGCCTTCAATAGGAAAGAGTAAGAATAGGAACTGGTGCGTGCTCACAAAAAACGTTGTGTAGGGGTTAATTTTTTCCTGCTTTTCTGCTACACAACACAAGACCAAGCCATTGTTAGTATAGAGTTTGGCCTTTCTCCATCCCTTAACGTAATTCTCTTAGTTACCCCCAATCCCAACCCTCCAGTAAAGGCCAGTATTCCTACAGAACTCTCTGATGGAGTTGTGGGGACTATAAGGGTGAGTAGTAACAGGAGGAGAGCCTGTTCCATGTTTGGTGTGGGGCTGAAGCCCATGCTGAGGGGCAGCAGCACACTAGGAAGAGCCATTGTCCAGTAAATGGACAATTGTCCAGTAAATCCATGTGGTGACAAGCTTAGCGAACAGTGGCCTGGGCGAAAGAATCACTGAGAGTGGCCAGGAGGGATCTAAACCCAGAGAAGTGATTACCCAATAGACTTCTGACTTAGGAGTAAATGTGAGAAGCAAAATCTCTTTTCCCAGAATTTTACAAAAAATCGACTCTTGGAATGGCAGCGGTGGCTAATACTTAGGTCACGTAGATGATAAAATTATAAGACAATATACATAATCTAGACTGCTGTTCATTGAATCATGTCAGTGTGTTTGCCACATTTCTTCTAAAAGAACATTTTTCATATTTTATCATTTCTGCAATCAGTAGTAGTAATAATAATATCTAACACATACAACTTAGTATGTTCTGGGTGGTATTCTAAGTGCATTGTCGATATTAAGTCATTTGTAACTCAGTGAGTTAGCAACAGTTGTTATCCCTCATTTAACAATTGGGGAAACTGAGGTGTGAAAAATTTTCTTCTCCAAGGTGTCACACATTCACAAATACACACAGACACACACACACATAGACGCACACACAAACACACACACACACCCATCTATTAAGTGGTAGAGGTTGGCAGCATGATCCTAACCGTTGCATGCTCATACTATTTTACAAGACCATATGATCTAAAATCTATTGGTAGCTTAGAATTTATGTACCGCTAAATATGTACATCTATTGTGTACTCACAAAAATTAAAAATAAAAAAATAATTTAGGATATCTGTTATGGTGGTTAAATTGTGCCTGCAGTGCAATTCCAATCTACCTTCCTGCGTCCTGGGAACTCTGAGGACCGGTATAGAGCAATGACAGGAAGCAAGGGCTCTGGCTTCATATCTGCATTGGAATCCAAGCTCTGACACAAGCTAAGCAAGCTTGAGAAACTTTTTAAAAGTTAAACATTTTATTTTCAAAGAGTTGTAGAGTTAAGAACAGTTGTAAAAAATAATATAAAAGATCCTATGTGAAATATCCTGTGTGGCTTTTGCTCGGTTATCCCCAATTGTAATATCTTGCAAATTATATTCAAACATTATAATGAGGATTTTGTTACAATTAACCTCTCTAATTCAGATTTTCCCAGTTTTACCTATACTCATGTGTGTGTATATATTTAGTTAAATGCAATTTTTACACATGTAGATTAGTGCGTCCACCACGACAGTCAAAATACGGATGTTACATGACCACAAAGATCTCTCCTGTTGACCTTTAATAAAATCATCAAGCTTCCTCTTGTCACCCTGTCCCATGCCTAACATGTGGCAACCATTAATCTGTTCTTCATGTCTATAATTTTGTCATTTCAAGAATATTATGCAAATAGAATTGTATGGTATTTAATCCTTTCGAACTAGCTTTTTTCAGCCAGCATAATTGCTTAATGATCCATCTAAATTGTTGCATATTGCAATAGTTTGTTACTTTTTATTACTAATATATGTTGCTGATTTATTTATGGTTGTGGACATCCTACAGTTTCACCATTCACTGACTGAGAGATATTGTTGTTTACAGTGTGGGGCTGTTACTAATAAAATTGCTGTGAACCCTAATGTACAGGATTTGTGTGAACATAAGTCTTCATTTCTCTGGGATAAATGCCCAGGAGTGCACTTTTTGGACTATAATGGTAGTCTCATATGTCGTATTGATGTTGTCGTTTATTTTTAAATTTCTTTTTCATTGACAATTAATATTTGTTTGTATTTATAGGTTACAATATGGTGCTTTGATATATGCTTACAATGCAGAGTGATTAAATCAGGTTAATGAATCTGTTACCTCATATTTTTTTTGTGGTGAAAATATTAAAATCCACTATTTCAGCAATTTTGAAATATATGATGCATTATGATATATTATAGTCACCATCATGTACAATAGATCACTAAAGCTTCTTCCTCCTACCTAACTAAAAATTCGTACCCTTTGATCAACATCTTTCTTTTCCCGGTAGGACCCTTCCGCCATTTCTGTGGTAATCTTCATTCTAATCTGTATTTCTATGAGTTCAACTTTTTTAGATTCTGTCCATCATCAGATGAATAAATAATTAAAATGCAGCCTCCACCTGCTGGGTTTAAGCGATTCTCATGCCTCAGTCTCTTGAGTAGCTGGGACTGCAGGCGCCCGCCACCATGCTCGGCTAATTTTTTGTATTTTTAGTAGAGAAGGGGTTTCAACATGTTGACCATGCTGGTCTCAAACTCCTGACCTCAAGTGATCTGCCCCTCTCGGCCTCCCAAAGTGCTAGGATTACAGGTGTGAGACTCCGCACCTGGCTCCTTTAGCTTTTAAGAAGAGAAAGAATTGAAATTATGATTACAACCAAGTGAAGTTGAACTTGAACTCCTAATTAGAGGATGGTTCTGATGTTAATTTACGTAAAGGAATTGTGATTTTTGTTTTTCTGCTCCCACTCCAATCCGTTTTTTCCCACACAGAATATTCCCAACTCTTCCTTCTTGAACCTTTGTAACATTACTGGCATTCGTTTCTCTTATCCATAAGCTCTAATCATCCAATGTTTCTTCTTGCTGTTATTATATTGAACAAATATTTATTAGATCAATCAGGAATAGGAAGAATAGATAATTTTGTTTTACTTTCATTTTTTCCTTCTCTAATGTACTTCCTTTCTTTATGTAGATCTAAGTTTCTGACTTACATCATTTTCTTTTTCTCTGAAGTCCTTCTTTTGACATTTCTTGCAAGGCAGATCTACTGGCAGCAAATTCCCTCAGCGTGTTTGTCTGATAAAGTATTCATTTCTCTTTTACTTTTGAAGGATAATTTCACCAATACAGCATTTTAGGTTGGTGGATTTATTTTTTCTCTCTAAATTTTAAATATTTCAGTACACTCTTTTCTTGCTGGCTTGGCCCAATCCATTTTATGCTCTTTTTTGTTCTGCTCTGTCACTGTGAAGCTGACCCCTATAAATTGCATTTCCTTAGCTCCCTTGCCGAGTAGTCTCCTGTTGGTTTTGGCCAATGGAAGGCATAAACATAAGACAGAAAGGCAGAAAGAGAGCAGATCTGGGACATTCCTTTTACATTGACCTCCACTCTCTTTGTGCCTTATTTCCCACCATGGCAGCTTATATCTCTAACTATCCTGTTAAGAATCTCCTCTATGGCTCTATCTCTTACTGGATTTAGAAAATCCTACTTCCTTCACTTGACTCTTCAGGCATGGTAAGGCTGGGAAAGGTATATCACAATTGCCTACTGGAGGTTGTCTCTAGGTGCCTCGATAGCCCCTTTTGGTTTCTTTAAGCCCATTCACACCTCTGAAAGTAGTTCCTTTGTACTGTTTTATTGAACCATCCATGTTGAATTCTATTTCTTGCCAGGGACATGGCTGATAAAGGGAGATAAGAAAAATCAGTAACTTCTCCCTTTGAAGTAACAAAGTATAAGATGAAAGTAAATGAAACTCATAGTTACTTTAAGAAAATGCGTTTGTGTATATATAAACAATTTCTACTTTTCATGACTCTATCTGGTGGTTTTTAGTATAAAATACTCACTAGAACGTGAGATTAAAGTTTGCCACTCCATACTGATTTGCATATGGACTGTTCGCTCAAGAAGTAAGGGTTGAAGAAATTGGAACGACTTATCATTTAAATCAGGAATCATATGACAATTCAACTGGTGACAATGTGCCCTACTTTCTAAGAGCCCAAGTTGTACATATGATTGCTTGTGTATGTATGTGTAAGTCACTCCACGCACATATGCACGTCACCCTTGAGTTCTGAGTTTACAAAACTAAACTAAATTCAGTTACTAAAAATATCAAATTTGTGTAATTTTCATGTATTTCTATGCAAGCACATCATTACTGAAAGGCCCTATTATACTGTTGCAAAATACTCATGAAGTACCAAGGTGCCTGATTCCAACTGTTATTTATTTTTTTTTTTTTTTGGCTATTATGTTCCTAACATAGCACATAAACTAGCTCATTTTCTCATGGTACTTAACTAAGGATACTTTTTTAAAATCTAGAGTATTACAGGGTCTTTGCATACCTACCTCTTAAACTGATTTGTTTTGGATTCTGGAAAACTTAGCACGTTGGTTAAGTGGCTGTGAAGAAATTTTGATGTATACGTCCACCTCACATAGACCTAATAGCTATGTGTTTGGCTAGTATTTTGTGGAAACAAATAATTAAGAGCAAGAAAAGTTGGATTTCCTTAAGAACACTGAATCGCATAGAGATTGGGTAATTACTGGAGACAAAAAGGCCTGTCAATAAAGGTCAGATATATGCAACTCCCTCCTTTTGCTGAAAATCTATTATTCCATGTTGAATTAGATATTAAAAGAATATTATACTTTCCAATAATTATATTGTTATAATGCAGGGGATATATTTCTCACCAATGACTCTACATCCACAATGTATGATGAAATAAAATATATATTTATTTTTAAAAATGCCTTTAGGGTTTTAAGATACTTAAGAATTCATTTCTTGTTCACTTTTAAATTTAGTGCTCTTAGTTCTAAGAGTTTGTCATCTGTTTTATGATACAGGTTAATACTGCAATATAAGCAAGGACCAGTCTTCATTTTACAACATGTATCATAAAACTGTAGGCTAAAGAAAAGTAATTAAAAAACACTCTGATGCATGACTTTAATGTAATTAAAATATATTTTGCATTCATGAAAAATTACAGGTCTCTATCAATCCCTCTATAAACAATTATAATCTTATTACTTAAAATTATTTCAACATCATACACATATGGTGTATATTTAGCTATAGTCGTTTAGGTTTTTAAAATCTGCTTTCTTTTCTAAATCATAATTTTAGACCTTTTGCTATGTTCGCAATCTTTGTGTAATCACATGCATAGCAGACAATAGCACATTGTAAGTATATTAGAAATATGAAAACACAGTCTAATCTCAATGCAAAACACTGTTGAAAAACACAGCATGATAAAAAATTAACTTATAAATGGAGAGATATACTCTGCTAATGGATTGGAATACTCAACATGGTAAAGATGTCAATTATCTCCAAATTAATCTATAGTTTTAATGCCATTTCTACTAAAATACCAGCAAGGTCTTTTTAGTAGACTTGGATCAGCTTATTCTAAATTTATACGGAAAAGTACAAGCCTGATAATAGCTAATACAATCTTGACAAAGAAGAATAAAGTGGAAAGAATCACTCCACTAAATATTAAGGCTTATTATGTAGCTACAGTAATCAAGACAGTGTGGAATTGGGGGAGAGATAGACGCATAGTTCAATGCAATAGAATAGAGATTCCAGAAATAGACCCGCACAAATATGTGCAAACTCATTTTTTAAAAAGTTGTGAAAGCAATTCCAAGGAGGAATTTTAACAGCCTTTCCATTTCTATAGCCTTTTCAACAAATAGTGTGCGTTTTTTCTAAGTGAGTGGTGTTTGAGCAAGTAGACATCTAAAGGCAAAACAAACAAAGCCCACCCATAAATATATAAGTAAATAAATAGAGCCTCAACTTAAGTCTTATGCAAAATTATCTCAAATGTCAAATATAAAACATAAAACTACAAATATTTTAGAAAAACATATGGGAGAAAATTTTGTGACTGAGGCAAAGACTTTTTACACTTTACACAAATAGCACAATCCATAAAAAAGAAAAACTGATAAATTGGACTTCGTTAAAATTAAAACTTTTGATCTGAAAAGGATCCTCTTAAGAAGTGAAATACAAGGTACAGAATGGGAGAAAATATTTGCATATCAGTTGCAAAAACAGGGACTATATACGAAGAACTTAGAAAACTCAAAAGCAAAAATCCAAAAATAAATTAATTAGGAAATGAGCCAAAGGCACGAAGAGACATTTTACTGAATAGTATATATAAATGACAAACATATGGAAAAGATATTAAATATCACTAGACATCAAGCAAATATAAATTGAAACCACAGTGAGATAAAACTACACATTTTTCAGAGTGTCTGAAATAAAAAATAGTGACACTACCACCAAATAACTAGCAAAAATGTGGAGAAATGGGATCACTCGTACATTACTGAAAAGAATATCAGTCTGGAAAATAGTTTGGCAGTTTGTTAAAAATAAACAAACACTGTGTATGTTTACCACTCCAGCCTGGGCAACAGAGTGAGACCCTGTCTCAAAAAAAAAAAAAGCTGAAGAAAAATTTTTTTAAATGGGGAATATAGGTGGAAGTGAGAGCCTGATAGCCTAATATACTTTATCTTTTCTAATGTATTTAACTGCTGCTCTTATCATTGCTTCTATTTAAAAATGTATTATATTTTTGCTAACCAACCTTCTAGGAGCCAATTGTACTCTCAGATTTCCCCGTTTTCATACTGAGGTTTTATCGAAGTAGCCCTTCTCCAAGTCCCTCCCCTTTTTATTTTAAATATAGAGATTTTAAACTATTTCTAATCTTACTCTCTTCTCCAAGTTCCTGAAGGTATTACCTCAGAATATGAAAACCCTTAAATGTACCTCATTTGCTAACGTGGAGAGAGAGACATGTACCTTGGAAGATAATTTGTGATGGAAAAAGCATATGCCTACACACACACACACACACACACACACACACACACTTAAACTTGGGTTCAATAACATATTAAACTTGGGTTCAATAACATCATACTTCTCAATATTCCAAATAAAGTTAACTCTAAAGATTCACCATAAGATTTTCAATATTTTAAAAATGTTTAAGGAAATATAAATGCTTTAGGTTGTTTAGGTTGTTTAGACATCTATTAAACCCAGAATATACTTTAAGCACTAATCTTTAATATACTATAGATTAAAAGCTATCTTTCAAATAACCAGACTTCACAATGTTTAAACATTTTATAAAACTGAACAGAATTTTGAGACATAAACCAATATAAAACTTTTTTTATCCTCCTCTAAATTCAATCCATTTGTGAAACCTCATTTAAATTCGAATCAAATATTTTCTCTGATTTCCATTAACAGGCTCTGACTCTCAGGCTTCAGTGAGTAAGTATATTCATTGTGGGGCTCAGAAAATTTTGAACCAAATTATAAATGGTGTTTATTTGTGTTTTCTTTCCATTTCTTTTTAAGGCATTCTGTAGTGAGGTATTCAAAACAGGATGCCACTCAAAGACTCTCTCTCTCTCTCTCTCTCTCTTTAAAAACTATTAGAGAAAATAGCATGTGCAGCTTCATCTGCTACATAAATCCTCTCAAAGCTTCTCTCCTTTCCAGATGATTTGAGTTGTCAGGAAGCAAATGAAGCTTAAGCTTTTGGGCCCCTTTATTTCATAGAAGTCTTCAAAAATATGTGCAGAACTTTCATATAATCACGTGCTCGAAAAATATGCACAACTAAGAATAGCCTCGAGCTTTAGGCACCGCAATCGTTGGATCTTCTGTTCTTATCAATTCTTACCAATTGTTTCTTAGGATGACACATTAAACCTTCAGAAAAACCTTATCAGGATGAAAACTTAGCCTTGCCATGGAAAAAAATGGTGGTTTTAAGAACAGAGTAAAAAAATAATTCTAACAGGGAGGGGATTTTTTTCTTTTGCTTTTTTAAAGAAAGAAATTAGGAAAGGATTTTAATTTGAGCCTACAAGTTTGCTGAAGTTGCACTCTAAAATGTCATCCACATAGATTTATATTGTTTTCTTTACTCTTTCTTGTGTAGTAATAACTTGGTCTAGGCTTTCAATAAATAAACTTATGAAACAGTTTTGAGTATTAACAATAACACAATGGCACTGAGAGCCTGTTTTTACAAGACTCTAAATATTTTATTTAAACGATACCCAGAATTCTGATTTGCATATTTAAAATTTTCCTGAATTAGATAATTCTTTTAAGTGTGTTACGTTATATAATCTAGTTGCAGTATCCTTTTAACAAAAAAAAGCAAGTGCAACAGTGTTAAACATGACATTGATGCCACCTAATCTCCATCAGGCTTCACAATGTAGTTTTATCTTATATTTATTTGTATGCACGAATGTCAGTGTCGTATGGCAGGAGTCTGTAAACTTTGGCTCATAGGCTAAACCCAGCCCACTGTCTTTTAAAAAAAAAAGATAGATAGATAACTGTAAATTCACATGCAGTTGTAAGAAATAATACAGAAAGATCCTGTGTGCCATTTTACCCAGTCCCTCCTTAAGGTAAAGTCACAGAACTATAGAACAATATTACAACAAGATATTGACATCAGCACAGATAAAATACAGGATATTTCCATCACCACAAGGATCACTCATGTTGCCCTTTCATGGTCAGACCCACTTTTTTCCTGCCCTCAGGCACTCCTTAATCTCTAGCAACTACTAATATGATCTCTATTTGTATAATTTTATCATCTCAAAAGTGTTATGTAAATGAAACCCTGTATTATGTAGCTATTTAGGACTAGCCTTGTTCACTCAGCATAATTCTCTGGAGATTCTTCCAGATTTGTAATGTGCATCAACAATGTGTTCCTTTGTACTGCTGAGTAGTATTCCATGGTATGAATATGCCAGTTTGATTAACCATTTGCCTGTTGAAGGACATCTGGGTTGTTTCCAGTTTCTGCCTATTACAAATACAGCTGCTATGAAGACTCATGTACAGTTTTTTTATGAGCAAATTTTCATTTATCTGGGATTAATGCCATGGAATGAAATTTCTGGGCTGTAGGTTAGTTGTATGTTTAGTTTTTTACAATGCACCAAACTTTTACAGAGTACCTTTACCATCTCATGTTTCCACCAACAATGTGTAAGTGATCTCATTTCTCTGCATTCTTGCCAGTGTTTGATGTTGTCACTATTTTTTAACTTAGCCATTCTAATATGCACAGAGTTATATCGTATTGAGGTTTTAATTCGAATTTCCCTAAGAGCCAATGATGCTGAACATCTTTTCACAAGCTTATCCGCCATCTATGTGTTGTCTTTGGTGAAATGTCTCCATGTCTTTTGCCCATTTTTCTAATGGATTTTTTTGTGTCTATTTTGTTTTTACTTTTGGGTTACATGAATTCTTCATTTAGTCTAGATACTAGTGCATGGTCAGATATATGGTTTGCAGGTATTTTTCTCGATGTGCAGCCTGTCTCTTCATCCTCTTGGCAGCATCTTTCTCAGAGCAAAATTTTAAAATTTTGTATGTCAAATTTATCAAATTGTGTCTTTTAAGGCACACGATTTTAACGTCAAATCTAAGAACTCCTCCTAGCCTTTCATCCTGAAGACTCTCCTGTATGTTTTTGTAAAATATTTATTATTTTGTGTTTCACATTTAAATTCATCATCTATTTGCATTTTATTTTGCATAAGGTGTAAAGTTATGTCAAGGTTCTTTTTCTTCTTTTTTCTTTCCATTATTTTTGTCCACTTGTTCTAAGACCCATGTGTTGAAAAGACTATCTTTGCTCCACTGAATTATTTTGCACTGTGTCAAAATCAGTTGAGCAATTTGTGTGGGTCTATTTCTGAAGTCTCTATTCTGTTCCATTAATCTGCGTGTCTATCCCAACACCAACACCACACTATCTTGATTACTGTAGCTATTTAATAAGTCTTCAGTCTGGTAGACTTATTCCTCTTACTTCATTCTTCCTTTTCAACATTGTTTTAGCTATTCTAAATCCATTGCCTTTTCACATAAATTTTAGAGTGCCTTTTCACATAAATTTTTCCTACACCTAAATTCCAAAAATATTGCTGAGATTTTGATAAAAATTGTGTAAACTGTGTAACAGTTTGGGTAAAATTGACATTACTGTGTTGAATCTCTCAATCCACGAGCACAATATATTTCTTCATTAATTTAGATGTTCTATGATTTACTTCTAAAACTTTTTTTTGCTTTCACCATGTAAGTACATGGCTTGTTAGATTTATATTTAATTTTTGTGACATAGTAAAATATACTATATTTTAAATTTCCATGTCCATATGTTCATTATTAATTCACAGAATGCAAGTGATTGTTAATAGACTTTATTTTTGGAGAACCTTTAGGTTCACAGCAAAATTGAAAGACAGAGATTTCCCATCTACCCATTGTGCCCGCACGAGCATGGCCTCTGTCATTATTAATAACTCTCACCAGAGTGGTACATTCGTTACAATAAATGAACCTACGTCAACACATCATTATAACTCAGATCCATAGGTTCCATTAGAGTTTACTCTTGTTGTTGTGTTTTCTGTGTGTTTGGACAAATTTATAGTGATGTGTATCTACTATGATAATATCATACAGAGTAGTTTCACTGACCTAAAATATTTGTGCTCTGCCTAGTCATGCCTCCCTGCCAACTAACCCCTGGCAACCACTGATATTTTTACTATCTTCATAATTTTACCTTTCCTGGATGTCATATAGTTGGAATCCTACAGTATATAGAAGCATTTTCAGATTGGCTTCCTTCAGTTAGAAACAGGCATTTAAGTTTCCTTAGTGTATTTTCATGTCTTGATAGCTCATTTCTTTTTAGCATCTATAGTCTGAATGTACCAGTTTATTTATCCATTCACCTACTGAAGAACATCTTGTTGTTTCCAAGTTCAGGCAATTATGAATAAAGCTGCTATAAACATCCATCTGCAGGTTTTTGTGCGGACATAAGTTTTCAGCTTATTTGGGTAAATACCAAAGAGTCTAATTACTTGATCATATAGCAAGAGTATGTTTAGTTTTGTAAAAAATCCTTAAACTGATTTTCAGTGGTTGTACAAGTTTACATTCTCACAAGCAATGAACAAGAGTTCCTATTACTCCATATCCTCACCAGCATTGGGTGGTGTCACTGTTCTGAGTGTTGACCATTCTAAGAGGTATGTAGTAGCATCACATTGTTGTTTTAATTTGCAATTTCCTGATGACATATGATGTGAAGCGTCTTTTCATACGCCTGTTTTCCATCTGTATATCTTCTTTGGTGAGTTATCTGTTAAGGTGTTTTGCCCATTTTTAAAATAGAGTTGTTTGTTTTCTTATTGTTGATTTTTAACAGTTCTTTGTATATTTTGGATAACAGTCCATTACCTGATATGTCTTTTGCAAATATTCTCTCCTATTCTGTGGCTTGTCTTTACATTCTTTTGACAATGTCTTTTGCAGCATAGAATTTTTCAATATTAATGAAGTCCTGCTTATCAATTATTTCTTGCATAGGTCATGTCTTTGGTGTTATATCTAAAAAGTCATCACCAGACCCATATAGATTTTCTCCTATGTTATCTTCTGTGGGCTTTATAGTTTTGCATTTTACATTTAAGTTTCTGATCCATTTTGAGTTAATGTTTGTGAAAGGTGTTTGCATGTGGATGCCCAGTTGTTCCAGCACCATTTATTGAAAAGGTTGTCTTTGCTCCGTTATCAAACATCAGTCAGTTGACTATATTTATGTGGGTTTATTCCTGGGCTCTCTATTCTGTTCCATTGATCTCTTCTTTTGCCAATAAGACACTGTCTTGATTACCGAAGTCTTGAAGTAG
Source organism: Homo sapiens (assembly GCF_000001405.40). Taxonomy (NCBI): domain Eukaryota; kingdom Metazoa; phylum Chordata; class Mammalia; order Primates; family Hominidae; genus Homo; species Homo sapiens. The sequence continues at coordinate 33,223,382 of NC_000023.11, read as the reverse complement.
AGCAGTCTCAATCTTCTGACTTTGTGCTTGTCCTTCAATATTGTTTTTGTTTGTTTGTTTGTTTGTTTGAGATGGAGTCTCCCTCTCTCTGTCACCCAGGCTGGAGTGCAATGGCATGATCTCGGCTCACTGCAATCTCCGCCTCCTGGGTTCAAGCGATTCTTTCATTTCAGCCTCTCAAGTAGCTGGGATTACAGGCGTGTGCCACCACTCCCAGCTAATTTTTGTTGTTTTTAGTACAGACGGGGCTTCATGATGTTGGCCAGGCTGGTCTCATACTCCTGACCTCAAGTGATCTGCCCACCTTGGCCTCCCAAAGTGCTGGGATTACAGGTGTGAGCCACCACGCCCAGCCCTTCAATGTTGTTTTGGCTATTCAAGGTTTCTTGCCTTTCCATATCATTTTTAGAATCTCTTTGTTAATATCTGCAAAGTAACTACTGAGATTTTGATTGGGATTACATTGAGTCTATAGATCAATTTGAGAATAACTGACATAATAAAAATATTGAGCCTTCCCATCCATGAATATGGATTATCTTCTATGATTTCTTTCATCAGAGGGTTGCAGTTTTCCTCATATAGATATGGTATGTATTTTGCTAGTTTTAGATCTAAGAATTTCATTTGTGGGAGGTGCTAATGTAAATGGTTACAATCAATTTTTGTATATTTATCTTGCATCCTGCTACCTTGATGAATTCACTTATCAATAATTTCTAGGAGATTATTTATAGATAGCTTGAAAATTTTATTTTCATGCCATCTACATATAAGGGACAATTTTATGTCTTCCTTTCCCATCTGTATGGATTGATTTAATTGTCTTGCCTCATTGCACTGGCTAGAACTTGTAGCAGTACGTGAATAAGAGTGGTGAGCGTGTGCATTCACGCCTTGTTCACAATATTAAGGGGAAAGCATTTAATACTTCACTATTAAGTATGAAGTTAGCTGTAGGTTTATGTAGATGTTGTTTATTAAGTTGAGGAAATTCTCCTTTAGTCCTATTTTTCAGACAGGTTGTTTCAAGATTAGATATATCAGTTTGTCAAATGCTTTTAGTACATTTACTGATAACATCGTGTGATTTTTCCTCTATGACCTGTTAATATGGTAGATTGTAGTGACTAATTTTCAAATATCAAGCCAGATTTACATCCTGGAAATAAACCCCAAGTGATCCATTAGTACATTGCTGAATTTTATGTGCTGAAATTGTATTAATAAATTTTCCATTAATATTTGTAAGGAATATGGATTTATAGTTTTCTTCTTTTGTACTGTTTTTCTGGTTTGGGTATCAGGCTATTGCTGGACTCAACACATATACTCAGAATTGTTTTCTTCCCTTCCATGTTCTGGAAAAGAATGTGTAGAATTGGTGTTAATTCTTCACAAGATTGGCATACTTTTCCAATGCAGTTATAGAAGTTTGCTTTTGTAGAAGTTTTTAAATTATGAGTTATATTTCCTTAACAGTTATACTCATTATCTAGTATATCCAAATTACTATTAAATAGCCAAAGTCTAGGCCATTCAAATTATCCATTTTATATTCATTGATTTACAGTAGTTTGTGCCTTTTGAAGAATCAATCTATTTCATCTAAATTATTAAATACTTATGTGAAGAATTGTTCATAGTAAACCCTTACTGTCTTTTTTTTTCTTTGTATTTTCCAGGCCTGTAGTAATATTCCCTACTTCATTTCTGATACGGGTAACTTGTGTCCTCTCAATTTTTTCTTTGTCACTTTTAGCACATTGTCAATTTTATTGACCGTTTTGAAAAAATAGCTCTTTGTTAATGAATCTTCTTTACTGTTTTTCTGTTTTTATTTTGATTAGTTTTTACTCTTTATTATTTTCTTCTTGAGATGAGAACTTTGATTATTGATCTGAGACTTTTCATCTTGTCTAGTGTATGCGTTTGGGAGCAGCTTTTTAAAACGCAATGCTTAATTTAACCTAAATGACAATATTTTATAGTAGGCAGTGCATACGGTGTTATCTTTAAAACCTGGTCTTGCTATTAGGTACCTCTCTGAGACGAAAGTCTTCAAGCTTATTGAAGTTTATCAATTAGCAGGTCGATTAAAATGTCAACTTTTCTTTTAATATACCCAAGGTATAATCTATTTGAGGGCAGGGACCTGAAGTTGTTAGCTCATATCTTTAATGCAGAAAATCTGGCCCTAATAAATGTTTCATAAATAAATACACATTTATTCCACGGCCCAGTTCCATTGTTTTAAATGAGAATTTGTCACTATGGTCATCCCATAGTACCAAGGTTCATAATTTCTTTTAGCATACACTCTCAAAGAGATTTGGTTTGCTACTCTCAAACATTCAAAGTTTATTTTAAATTTTATGATGATCTGGATCATAAATTTCTTTATTTCCCTCTCTTGCCTGTTTCCTTTTTTCCAACTGATATCACTAAACTCCTATTACACCCAATGTGCTTTTGAGAGCTAAAGTTATCAACATAATATAAATAGCAATTAATTCTTAATATCAAGAAGTTTACAGCTGAGTAGTAAAGATGCATTCATATTGTTAGACCCATCTATGAGTGGGAGTGAGGAGAAGCTAAAAAAAATAATCTTCATAAAGTAAATTTAAACAAAGCCCAGAAGAATGAGGGAGCATATAATACACAAAGGATATAATACAAAGAAATTGCAAGTGGAGACAATTTTATTCACACAACAAAATGACAAGCAATAGTGATAAAGCAACTAAAAAGGAAGACACAACTGTTTTGATGGAGCTTGCCTTCCATCAGGTAAGAAACACCTTAAACATACACCCAATTTATTTATCACACATGCAAAAAGGGAGTAAAGCTGCATGCTCAGAAAACATGTATGATGAATTTTTTAAATAATCTGAGATATAATAGTAGGAAAGCACATAACATAACTCAAGGAAGTTCAGAGATGTAGGGTTGAAAATGAAGGCAAAGGCTACATTGCGTAGGATCTATTCATCCTTGATCATATTTTCTACAAGGTATCACACTAGTACTGAGTATCCATCCAAGACTGAAATGGTAGGGGTGAGCCTGCTTGCTAAAAATTCTTCAGTTGTATTAGTGGCAGTGGCTCCACTCCTCGCTACCACACCCATTTTGCAATTCTCTGCCCTGTTTTTTGCCCTGGAAAGCTTGTCTCTTCATTTGTATCACCAACGCCTCTTGTGCACTAACTTTTAGGAAATTATGTGACACCAGCTGGACATCAGAGGGCAAGGGAAAAAAAGGTTTGGATATTTGTGTTCCACTTCACATATGCCTCACTAAGGTCCTGGTAGTGACTGCCCTTTTCTATTGCTATTCCAACATTATTCCTTTACCTTGACATATTAGGCCTGGAGGTAGAAACAAATTACCTCTCTTGCTGCTTGCTAGGTGACTCACCATCCCTTATTTGTTCTCATCAGCCTGCCTATATGTTTGTCCATAGTTCTTTCACCGAATTATTATCTGTTAAATGCTTTTGAATCTGCTACCTATATTTCCTACCAGGATCTTCACTAATACCCCATAAGAGATACAACTATTAAAACATGTTACTGATTCTCAGCTCACTAGCATCAATGCATTTACTATCTTTGTACTCATAATACCTTTCTTACATTCAGAAATCTTTAAAAATCTTCATTAATCCCTGTACATTTACCTCATAAAACAGTTGGGAATCAATCCACAAAGTGAGGAGTCATTATTTTCACAACACAGGCAAATTAGTTTTGAGTTTTGCTTATATTTGGTAAGCAAATGTTTTCTTTCTTGACTCTATAGATAGTACTGATATGTAGTACCAAGTCCTGAAATCACATCGTTATGTGAATGCCATGGGCTTCATTGTCTATGGAAATGTGAGTTAAAGCTCTTTTTTTTTTTTTGTCCAGTGGAAAAAAAAATCTGAACATTTAAAAATGAACTCACAAGGTTCCAGATATCTACTTACTAATTTTAAAGGGAATTAAGATGGTGTCAAGTAAAATTTATTTACAGAACACACACACACACACACACACACACACACACACACACACACACACACAATAATCTCTAAAGTATCAACCATAGATGGAGTGGGGAACCAGGACCTTCACTCCCACCTGGCAATAAGGCAGCACACTTCTACCTCTATCTTCCACCAGAACAGTCAGAAGGGGACGAGCTAAAATAGATTTAAATAAGATCCAGAGTCTGATAATGTAATATCCCAAATGCCAAAAAAGAAAATCTCAACTGGAATGCAAAAAGATAGTAGTCACTTATACTGACATGACAAAGATGACAGAATTATCTAGCAAGGATATTAAAGTAGCCATCCCGAAAATTGTTGAGTAAGCTTTTTAAAACATTTTGCAACAAATAAAAAATGGGAAAAGTCAGAAAGAAATAGAAGACATAGAACGACATGACATTTTAGAACTAAAAATATCGTAATCAAAAAAAAGTTCAATAAATGGTCTCAACAGTAGAATGGAGGTGAGGAGACAGGGGAAATCTGTGTGCAGAAAGATAGGACAATAGAAATTACACAGTCGTAACAAGAAGGAAAAAAACGATTTTTAAAATGAAAATATTCTCAGTTGTCCTATGGGATTATAATAAAAGATCTACGGTTTATGCCATCAGAGTTTCAAAAAGGGAGGGTGTTGTTGAACAAGTACTCAAGCACATAATGATTGAAAAATACCAAATTTTGTAAAATGCAAAACCCTACAGATTCAAGGAGCTGAGTATACAGGATAAACCCAAAGAAACTCATGCTTAGACGCATCATAGTCAAATGTCTGAAAACTAGTTATATTTTTTTTTTAAAAAAAGTCTTAAAAACAGTGAAAGAGAAAAAGACACTTTATCTATAGGCAAAAAAGTTCAAATGGCAGAGGATTTCTTATGTGAAACCATGAAAGCCCGAAGGAAGAAGTATGACATTTTTCAAGTGATGAAAGGAGAGAACTGTCAACTTCCAGAAAATAGAAGAGGAGGCAACACTTCCAAATGTACTTTATGAGGAAGAAGTATTTTGATAATAAAACCAGGTAAGCACAGTAGAAGAGTCAACAAATTACAGACCAATAAAACTCATGGATATAGAGACAAAAAGCCTTAACAAATTTTTACACATTATATTAAGAAGCTAAAGAAGAATAATCACTTGATCATATCAATTGATGGAGGGGAAAAAACGTTTGACAAAATTCAGTGCCCCATTTATGATAAAAGCTCTCAGAAAACTAACAATGGAGGAGAACGTCCTCAACTTGGAAAAGAATAACTACAGAAATCTTATAGCTAACATTGTAATAATAATGAAAGAATTTACACCTTTCTTCCTAATATTAGGATTAAGGCAAAGACGGTTGCTTTCAGCCCTACTATTATTCATAGTACTGGAAGTTCTAGCTAGTGTAAAAATGCAAGAAAAGTGGATAAAAGCGTACAAATCAGGAAGGAAAAGTTATACTGTCTCCATTTGCAGATGTTATGATGATCTATGTAAAATCCCAGGTATTCTACAAAGTTACTCTTAGAAATGATGAGTTTGTTAAGGTCTTAGGATACAAGATCAACTTATAAAAGTCAATTGCTAATCAATGAATATGAAGTTTCATTTATATAAGATGAATAAGTTCTAGAGATCTGCTGTACAACATCGTATCTATATGTAACAATACAGCATTATAATTTAAGAATCTGTTCGTTGGGTAGATCTCATATTAAATCTTATCACAGTAAAATGATTATTAAAAATTAATTGTATTTTTGTATACAAGCAATTAACTACTGAAACCCAAAATTTTTCACATAGTATCTTGCAGTCACTCTGAAACAATGAAATACTTATGAATCTAATAAAACATTTACCAGATCTATATACTACAAACTAAAAAGCTAAGGAAATAATGCAAAGACTTAAATAAACGGAGATATATACTGTATTAATGGAATTGGAGGATACAACATAGTAAATATATCAATTCTTCCAAAACTAATCTATAGTTTGAATGCAATTCCTATCAAAACATCAGTGAAACATTTTTGTCTATTTGGACACCCTCCAAATTGCTTGAATTCTATTTGTCTTATTTTTTCTGGTCCTAGTGCCTATAAACTCACTCACAAACTAGCATATTTTCCCATTGGACTTAACTAAAGAGATTTTTTAAACACCTAAGAAATATATGCCTTATAATATGGGTAACATTTCAACCAATATGGATCACTGTGGAAAAAGGAAGTAGAAATGATCCATAATGATTTTTTCCCTAATCAATAAATTTGTGAATTTTATATAAGTATATTACCTAATAAGCCTGTTTCTCTTCAACTTATTTGTCCTGTGAAGCTGCATTAATCATAATGCTTGGAATTATATTAAATAATCAAACAAGTTGGGAAAATGACCCTGCACTTCCAAAGTAATATAAAATAATGCCTTTAGGGTTTCCAATTATTTAAGAATTAACTCCTTGTTCACTTTACGTTTACCATATTCAGTTCTTTCTAATTAATATGCCATCTATTTAATAACACAAGGATGACTGGTTAATATTGGAATATAATCATGGGCCAGTCTTCATTTTACAACATGTATCATCTAAGTGTAGACAAAAAAAAGTAATTTAAAAAAATGTGTATGAGTTCACTGTAATAAAAATTATGCTTTATATTTTTGAAAAATGTATGTCTAATTAATTCATCTGTAAACAATTGTAATTTCATTAAAATTTTAACAAAATAATTTCAACTTTCATTTTGAATCGGGGGTACATGTTCAGGAGTTTGTTACAAGGGCATATTGTGTGATGTGGAGGTTTGGGGTACTGATGATCCAGTCACCCAGGTAGTGAGCATTGTACCCAGTAGGTAGTTTTTCAGCTCACACCCGCTTCCCTCCATTCCCCCTCTAGTAGTCCCCAGTATCTCTTGTTCCCATCTTTATGTCCACTGTGTACTCAGTGTTTTGCTCCCATTTATAAGTGAGAACATGCGGTATTTGGTTTTCTGTTCCTGTGTTAATTTGCATAGGATAATGGCCTCCAGCTGCATTCATCTTGCTGCAAAGTACATGATTTCATTCTTTTTCATGACCATGCAGCTAACCAAGGAGGTGAAAGAACTATACAAGGAGAACTACAAAACACTGCTGAAAGAAATCAGAGACAACACAAATAAATGCAAAACATTTCATGCTCTTGGATTGGAAGAATAAATATTGTTAAAATGGCCATACTGCCCAAAGCAATTTACAGATTCAGTGCTAATCTTATCAAACTACCAACGTCAATTTTCATTTTTCATTTTCATTAGAAAAGACTAATCCAAATTTGTATGGAACCAAAAGAGCCCATAGAGCCAAAGCAATCTTAAGCTAAAAGAATAAAGCAAGAGGCATCACACTACCTGACTTCAAGCTATACTATAAGCCTACAGTAACCCAAACAGCATGGTACTGGTACAAAAACAGACCATAGACCAATGGAACAGAATAGTGAACCCAGAAACAAAGCGACACACCTATAACCATCTGATCTTTGACTAAGTCAACAAAAATAAGCAATGGGGAAAGGACTTCCTATTCAATAGATGGTGCTGGGAAAACTGGCTGGCCACATGCAGAAGATTGAAATTGGACCTCTACTTTTCATTATATACAAAAATCAACTGACGGTGAACTAAAGGTTTAAATATAAGACCTCATACTGTAAAAAATCCTAGAAGAAAACCTAGGAAGTACCCTTTTTTACATTGGTCTTGGCAAAGAATTTATGACTAAGTCCCCAAAAGCCATTGCAACAAAAACAAAAATTGACAAGTGGAACTTGACTAAGCCAAAGAGCTTCTGCAAAGCAAAAGAAACATCAACAAAGTAAACAGACGAAGAATGGGAGAAAATATTCACAAAATATGCATCTGACAAAGGCCTAGTATCCAGAATCTATAAGAAACTTAAATCAACAAACCAAATACAAATACATTCATTAAAAATGGGCAAAGTATATGAACAGACACTTTTTTTTTTTTTTTTGAGATAGGGTCTTGCTCTTAGTCCAGGCTGAAGTGCAGTGGCACAGTCTCGGCTCACTGCAAACTTCACCTCCCCTGCTCAAGCGATTCTCCAGCCTCAGCCTCCTGAGTGGCTGTGATGACAGGCGCCTGACATCACGGCTGTATTTTTTTTAGAGATGGGGTTTCACCATGTCGCCCTGGCTGGTCTTGAACTCCTGAGCTCAAAGCGATCTGCCTGCCTCAACTTCTCAAAGTAATAGAATTACAGGCATGAGCTAACACACCCGGCCTGAACAGACACTTCTTGAAAGAAGACATACAAGCGGCCAACAAGCATATAACATTTTTTAACAACGTAAACATTTTTAAATGTGCTTCTTTTTACAAACTGGCCGAGTGTGGTGGCTCATGCCTATAATCCCAGCTCCTGGGGAGGCTGAGGCAGGAGGATTACTTGAGGCCAGAAGTTAAAGACCAGCCTGCGCAACATAACAAGACCCTGTCTCTAAAAAAAATATTAAATTAGCTGAATATGGTGGCATTCACCTGTAGACCCAGCTACTCAGAAGATTGAGGCAGGAGGATCACTTGAGCCCAGGAGTTTGAGACTATAACGAGGTATGATTGTGTCGCTACACTCCAGCCTGGATGACAGAGCAAGCCTCCATCTCTTAAATGAAAATTTCTTAAAAAGCAAAAACAAACAGGAAAAGAACGGGTTTTGGAAACTCTGCTGTTTTCCTTTTTTTGTGCAATCACATGCATAACCGACAGTAGTGCCATTATATTAGAAATATTAATATATCTAATCACAACACAAAGCACTGTGTAAAAAAGCCGAGTATGATGAAATAAATTAAAGATAACCTAAATATTGGACATATGTACTATGTTAATGAATTGGAGGAATCAATGCGGTAAAAACATCAATTCTTCCAAAATGTATTCATAATTTTAATGCAATTCCTATCAAAATTCTACCTGAAAGATATTCTGTAGATAGATCTGTAGATCTATTTGTAGATAAACTTATTCTAAAATTTATATGGTAAATTATAACCACACTCTGGGACATGAATCTAGAGGAATGAAAAATGAAAAACTACATGATTGTTTTGCAGCTTTATTTGTAGTGACCAAACCCTGGAAACAACGAAAATATCCCACAGTATGTGAATAAAGTAACTATAGAACATCCATGCCATGAACTACTACTCAGCAATAAAAGGAAATAAGCTATTGATGACAACTTAAATGGATCTCAAGTACAGAATGCCAAAAAAAAAAAAAAAGCCAATCTCAAAAGGTTACATACCGAATCATTGCATTTATCTAATATTCTTAAAATGACAAAATTACAGTGATGGAGAACAAATTGATTGGTACCAGGCTTTAGGGATATTTAGGGAGGGTGACTGTTGTGACTGTAAAGGGGTAGCATGAGGCAAATCTCTGTGGTGATGAAACAGGTGTTTATTTGTGGAGGTTGAGGTTACACAAATCAGTGATGAAATAGAAATATGTATACATATCAATGTCAGTTTCCTGGTTTTGATACTGAATTGTAGTTATTGTAGGATACTGAATTGTAGTTATTGTAGTTAATCTTTGGGAGAAACTGGGTGAAGGGTACATGGGATCTCTGTATACTATCCCCGCAAATTCCTGTGAATCTATAAGTATTTGAAAATAACAAGTTAAAATAAATTTTTAAAAATTCTGTGACAGTTATTAAAAATGGAAATTTGAGCAAGTTCCTTTATTATGGGGCTAATAAGACCTACAAGATGTAGTTATTCTGAGGACTAAAGGAGAAAGATAAGTGATTAAGGGACACAAGAAAGTACTGTGGTGACACAGTCTGAACTGGAGTTCAATTTGTTCGGTCTAAATTTTATTTTACGTGCCTTTCACTTTTCCAGTTATTGTAAGCATATATTTGCACCTGGATTATAAAATCTTAAGGGAAGTATATGCATTCCACACAATGCAGAAATCATTATAGGTGCCAAATAAATTCTGATTATCAACTAAGGCTGAATGGCAATTAAATGTATCTCAGGGCATTCAGATCTATCAGGATTTGGTGCTTTAGACATTACCCAGGACACATCTTTGTTACATTTAGAACCACGGTTGTTTTTAGAAACATACACTTTAGGGTTTCTCAAAGTTGACCATGCATTAGAATCACCGGTAAAACACAGAGTGCTGTGTCCCAACCCCAGAATTTCTGACTTTTGAGGTCTCGTGTCAACTTGCATTTCTCAGAAGTTCCCACGTGATATTGATGTTGGTTTGGGACCGACAAGTTGTATTCACGCCTTGGCCTAAACAAGGGTTTATGTTTGTAGAAAACTCACAGTGCAAGATACAAAGGGCACTTATACTCTGGGCAATATTGTACCTCACAGCATAGAGGGACACTGATGCTAACATGCAGACTTAGAGCCAAATCAGCCCCAAAACAATTTTTTCATTTTTTCTATGTTGTTTTATGAAAATTTTGCTTATATGCATATTTAGACAACCACACTGAGAGGAAAGGAGGTGACCTAGGGAAAAGAATGTTTTAAATTAAAATTAGGCCTTATGTTTTATCTCATACACCTTTTGCTGGGGAAAATAGCAATGTTATGACAATAATATTCTAAAACACAAAATGTACAATTAACTATTAAGGTAAACATCACAGTCTGACTCAATATTTTTTTAATTTTTATCTATTACTCATTGCAGTCGCAAGCAGTTGAATGTTTGACATAGAAAAATGAGTCTGTCACTTTAACAAATGGTACAATAAAAACACTCAAACAAAAATTTTAGTAGGGATTATTATAACTATAAAAAGAATATCTTTCTTTAAAAAATGTTTCCAATGTTTTCTATCAATTTTGGGCTCGCCTGTTGCATAAAAGTAATAAGGAACAAGATGAAGAAGCTTTCTATTGGCAAAGAATGATTTACATGCTGAATGACATAATACAACTGTATTCACTTAATACAGAAAACAAGCCTCTATTCAGAACCATTAAATGATCATTAACTCAATGTCTAAAAAAATGGTGTTTTAAGAATTGGCACCAGAGAAATGGAAGAAAGAATAATTTGTTAGTAAAGAAGTTTTAGCATAATTCACAACTGAAATTTAGGATTTGAGAAAAATTTCTTTCCTGCATTATAAGAGTATTCTTTATTTTAGCAGGAAAACATGTCCCATGAGACCTATACACACACACATTCTGCCTTCAGAATTCAGCTGCTGCATTCTGCTGCTGCTTCTCTTATTCAGACTGTTGGCATCATCAATACATAACTTTTGATTGAATCCCAAGGGGAAAAAATAACTTTGGTAGACAGTGGATACATAACAAATGCATGGATTATTCTGGGCATTCCTTTTTATTTGGTAGAGTGAAATTTTTGGTGTTGTTGAGAGGATAAAAAAGGCATTTAAAAGTCAATTTTGAATCCGGATTTTCTGCTCTGTTAATAAATTCACATGAAAGTTACAGAAAGTATTGTTATGCTTTTGTACTGAATAGTTTTTGTGTTTAGAAGGCTTTAAAAGCAAGTACTATGTCCACTGTGCTATTCTGGTTTGGATATTAATCAGAACACAGTTGAGCATTGTTTGAATTCACAGAGCTTGCCATGCTGGAAGCACAACCTTATATGTAGTGACCATGGACAGTCCTATTATGGGAAACCAACTTGAGAGAGAAGGCGGGTCACTTGCTTGTGCGCAGGTCCTGGAATTTGAAATATCCGGGGGCCTCTACAGAATCCTGGCATCAGTTACTGTGTTGACTCACTCAGTGTTGGGATCACTCACTTTCCCCCTACAGGACTCAGATCTGGGAGGCAATTACCTTCGGAGAAAAACGAATAGGAAAAACTGAAGTGTTACTTTTTTTAAAGCTGCTGAAGTTTGTTGGTTTCTCATTGTTTTTAAGCCTACTGGAGCAATAAAGTTTGAAGAACTTTTACCAGGTTTTTTTTATCGCTGCCTTGATATACACTTTTCAAAATGCTTTGGTGGGAAGAAGTAGAGGACTGTTGTAAGTACAAAGTAACTAAAAATATATTTTACTGTGGCATAACGTTTAGTTTGTGACAAGCTCACTAATTAGGTAGATTGATTTTAAATTATCACAGTAGTTTGCAAAGAAGCATAAATGTTATATATACTGCATATATATATGTATTTATTCAGGAATATATATTTTTCATTGGGAAAACTTTTCAACAGAAATGGAGTGTAAAAGTTTTTCTTTGCGATAGAACTAAACACATGATTTCTTGATTAACAAACCACTGCAGTAATAGAATATGCAGAATGTCATTTGACTATAACAGATTTATTTTGATTGCTGTGAGATAGTTTGTATATCTGAGTTATTATTTTGATTAGTTGATACTTCCGTATTTAGTAACAGTTACATAAAGGTTACTGACCTGACATATATTCTCAATTGAACTAACTACTGTATAGGAACTACATGGAGGCCTAAAAGTTAGAAAAAGTTTCTCTGACACATCATGGATAAAATAAAGAATAAAATGAGTTGGGACGGATAATTGAAGGATGTGAAAAGTATTGATAAAGATTTAATTTTAATGTTTCTTACTCACATTTACTATTTCAAATGCTCTTTTCTGTAGCATATCATGATAATTATTTCAAATAATGATGTGATCTATGCTATCAAATGATCAGATGATTTCTTGGGTAAACGACATACAAACTTGAGGAACTCCTAATTATATTTAGTAGTAAAGTCACCTTGTTGTTTCATGTCTATTATGAGCCAGCTTTTCAGTTCAATTTTTTAGTTTGTCTTTCATATAGAAATACAACTATTTCGTTTATTTTTAAGAAAGTCATGATGACTAATGAAGGATTTAAAAATGGACTGTGGCACAACAGTAAAAATAATATATGATAAGGACTGTGTGTCCCGAAGAGATGGGAGTTTATCTCTTCCCCACCCATCTTTGACTTGTGGAGTGTAGTTATTCTAAAATAGATATGAGGGCAATGCCTATAATTAAGAATGAAAAAATAAATCTCTCCAAATAAGTAATGCTCCACAACTACTAAAAAAAAAGGCAGAAGTTTTGCCACTGGGAAAACTTTGTGGAAATAAGTTAACATTGTCCATGTATTGAGTCACATTAAAAGCTACCAGACTTTATAATACAATATTTACTTACATTGTTGGCTTGCTTCATAAATTTCTTTTGGTGGACATCATTATTACTTTTAGATTGAAAAACTATTATATTTACTATCATTACAAATATATGCATGGCATATATCTGTTGTTTGCAATATACACACACATTTTTATTTTTTGTTTTTATTTCTTTGATATATGTAACATAAATACCATCAAAATCACTAGTGATTTTATATATATATATATTCTACATAATTAACATCATATACAAGTATATAGAGCAATTTTGAAAGAATATATGCAATTCTGCTGAAATTAAGCAAGGTAAATCTACACTCTGCTTTGTCATAGATATTCAAATAACTTTCAATTCTTAGAATGCGAAGAAAGGTAATCTTTTTGGGACATGCCCTGTAGGATTTTTTCACGCTGCATTTAAAAAATCATCAAGTAATGCCTATGCAACATGACAATGAGTTTGGTAAGAAAAAACGGAGATATACTCAGGGCTATATTATACATTAAATTTTGCTGTTTGACAACATACTGCTACTTGGATGTTTGACATTTGAATCCAGTTTGTAAATTTGCCGTAGTTTGATAAACTTACAAAAGTACGTTTTGTTGTTTTTTAACCAAAACAGTTACCCTTTAAAAGAGATCACTGTATTGTCAAACATATTGTATTGTTCACTTTTAGAATTACTCAAATAATGCATTGTAAAGAATTATTCAAATAGTGTACTGCAAATAGACATTTCATTTGAATATATTTAAATGATGTAAGTCATCTGAGGTCTAATAAAATCACCTTTTAGAATTTCATCTGCAGAATCTTTTAAAGACATCTTAACTACGAAAAAGAGATTGCTGATCTAAATTGATGATATACTGTTAATACAAAGCTTTTGGTGTATCTTACATGACATAACATTATGAAAAATACAATAGAGTATGTCATATAGATGTTACTCTAAACTTTAAAAAAAGACTACAAAGTGTTCTATGCATAATTACATTATTTAAGGGGAAAAAGGTGTTGGCTGACACTATTCCAGCTAGACAGTACTGAATTGCAAATTCATCATTTGGGCACAGATATTAATACAGCTTCCTCTTTATTCCTATAGCATTCATTTGAAATCCCTGTACTCCATGTCATTTGCTACATATGAAACAAATTGTCAAGTTTTTAACCACTTGTGTAGTTTAATAAAAGAGATTAAAATCATTGTCTTGGAAACATCAGGTGTTTTTCAAAATTCTATTTTATTATCTTTCATCAAAATTTTATCTCAAGAGTAAAACAAAGTCATTTCCCAAACTTTCCTTCTCCTTCCACCTTCTATTGTAATATTTTCCTAACTTATTAAAAATGATTTATCATACTTTTTCATCAACTCTTTATTTCATCACACATACAAGAAACACAGTATTTTGGTATGAGTATATATATTTATATATATGCACATTTATATGCATTCAAATCACAGGGTATAAAGTTTCCTAAGAGGGTCTAATTAGAAATTAACCTTTCTTTAAAGATAATTTTCTGTTCATTTTTCTAAATTTTCTATTTTAAACACACATCATTTTTTAAGGAATTGACAAATGAGACTAATGTACATTCCCTGTCTGACAACACAGAACGAACCAGGAAGAAAGGATTTATGGGGCCTGAGGTTATACAATTGGGGGTGCTATTTTAAGAAAAATAATAGAAAATTGGATACAGCCTTGGGAGGGGCCCCTCATGTAAGTAAGGCTTTAATAGTTTCTTGGGAAATCACCTCTGTATGAAGAGATGTGTTGACATTTAATCTTTTCCCAGTTACATTTTAAAATAAAATTGATGCTAGTTATATTTCTTTAGAGCATTTATTATTTCTCAAAGACAACCTTTTATTTAATGCAGATTAGAGAGTTAAAAGAATTTATAATGGTAGGAATTTGACATTTCTGCCTTTCATTCTGAAAAGATACATTGATTAAAGTGATGTCAAACTCAGTTAATGGAGGCGGTGCAGTTATTTGAAATATACAGGGTATATAATTTGAAGGCACGCCAAATCACAATGACAAGGAATAATGATGACCTTGGTTTATTTTTATACAGTACATTCAGGTTTTGATTGGATTCAGAGAGAGGCAATGGTTTTCTTTCTCACAAAGTCCTGCTATAGTCCTAGGAGGTTTGTGTTCTGTTATCAAGGCAGTTGGTTCGTATTGGAATATTTTCTGGGGAAGGTCATGGGCTGCAGTGTGGGAAATAAACGTTTTTATTAAATGCAACCAGGTTTCATGAAAATATTTCCCCTTGTAGAGTGTGCTCAATGCAGTATACTGATCTTCAAAAAACAAACAAACCAAGCAAATAAATAGTTTGTAGTCTTCACCTTTTCCCTACGTAAAACATCTATTAGTTAGACTTCCTTGGGGTTTCATGCTATAAAATATTGACATATGTTTGGAGTTCTGAAGTTTCATTTTAATACAGATATCAAAGTTAAAATGGCAACACCATGGGATAATTTATTATTTTACCAAGTTTGGAGGGTTTTTTCTATTTATGTCACTTATAGAATTGTCCCTAAAATCCTTGCAAAATTTCAAGCTCCCTCTACTTAATACTAAAAGTGAATGTGTCTTCCAGAGATTCTGATAACCCCTTCGAATGGGAGAGTAACTCTGCTATTTGTGAATCACTCCTATACTAAATATAGTTCCAAGATTAAAAGCTAAAATGATTTTGTTTATTTTTTCATGAAATTTTTTCATGAAAGGCTTGATAGTATAAAAAGTCTGTTTCCCTCATATATTACAGCATATTATAGCATTCAATGTGCCTTCTTAAACCAGATGGCTCCTCTAGAGATTATGAAATACTTTAACACCCAGGGCATAGCCTTTCTGTTTCCCCATTCAAGATTACTTCCTTGAATATGGCCCAACAAAAAGACCAAAAAAATACATTTGGCTCCAGCGTTTTAAGGGCATATAAATTTTCTTAAGCACAATTCTGATAGGCAGCAGACAAATGAGAATGAGGAAGGGAAATGGCTCTGCTGTCTTATGCTTAAAAGTGTCCTCATATAGAGAGAAACAACACACCCTGGGGCCTTTCGGAGGGTAGAGGGTTGGAGGAGGAAGAGGATCAGGAAAAGCAACTAATGGGTACTAGGCTTGATACCTGGGTGATGAAATAATCTGTACAGCAAACCCCTATGGCACAAGTTTACCTATGTAACAAACCTGCACTTGTAGCCCTGAACTTAAAAGTTAAAAAAAAATAAAATAAAAAGAGTCCTCATCTCACGGCCATACAACCTCTACCTCATTCCCATTAAAAACACAAAGATCAGTACTCCCTCTTTTATAGCTCACATCTTCTGTTTAGGCTGCCATTTTAAGGGATAATTTCTATTCAACTCTGAGCTCGATCTTTATTTTAATCTGATATCACTCGTTCAAAATACTTGGGAATTTCAGTAGGCAACGGAACACACAGAGCAATTTTCTGGAGGCCTACAACCTCTGAAGGTGACTTTGCGTAGTATATGTAATGATAGTAAGCCCTGAGAAAACCAATGTTCTTAGTAGTCTGGATTTGGTTTAGAAATCAATGTATTCCTGCTTTCTTTTGTGATCTTTTGCCTTCTCCCTCAATGCCTCACTTTCACTCTGTCATTATGAACCCCATTCCTCACTAATGGGAACTGGGGGAGAATGGACAATGATCCTTTAATTGAAATGGAGTTGTCATTTCCTTGCCATGCTGATAAAATGTTGTTGCTGTTGTTGTTTGTTGTTGTTCTTAAATGACTCTTTCAGAATTTTTAACTCAGTATTTTGATTACATACCATTTTAAGAAAATAATTGTCCATAAATTAAAAATGCTAGCAAATTGATGAATTGATTTTCTCATGCCAATTTGGAAATCTGAAATATATCTAAGACTGGTGAATAATATGTAGGTCTAATTGCCATTTGAATAAAAGAATCTGAGGAAGAGCTTTGCCTTTATTTTTGTTTATTATTCATTTTAGTTTAGTTATTTATTTTAGTAGAAAAATGTGGTTGTGTCAACGAAGAGGAGGTACATTAAAATGCATTATTAAAGCCAATGCTTATCCATGTAATGAAATGAGAATGTAGATGGCTTAATGGGTTTTGGAGAGGATTAAGATAATTTTAAAGAAACTTCAAAAAATCAGATGCTCGAATCATGATGTTTTTTGTTTATATTTAATAAATATGAAAACCATACATGGGCATATCAACAATGAGGAATTCACATATATATCACGAAGTCTCTTGCTAATTTGTCAACTTTTAAATGTGTTGTCTTCACTATCATGAAAATTTTGATTTTTAAAAAAGGTCAGTGTTAGCTGAGCACAATTACCATTACGGTGTCCCATATTATTTCCAATTATGGGCAAATAAAATGCTTACCCTTTAAATGTTTTTACCCTCTTCTTGGCTTTTGTTTTGTTTTGTTTTAAAGCGTTCTCCCTTCTTCCACTCTGCTTTTGGCTAAGACTGTCATGGAATCAGGACTATAAAAGGGCATAAACATCAGTAGCTTTTTTCTCATTCCTGGCACTCATCTTTATTTGCACTCAACTTGTCTCTTCCTTTATCAGATTACGGTTGCAATAGTACCTTAGCCTGAGCTAAGTGCTGACTTAAAGGGCAAGGGAGTCAGTACACTGTTACAAGTGCAGATTTTAGCCTTGGAAGCTGTGTGAGGAAAAATTAAAGAAATAAGAAAGAAAAATCACAAAATCAGAATGGCCCACGTATTTTCATCAAAGGCAAATTGAGTAATTCCTTTTTATGTTGGTGCTTAAGAACGATGTATTAGAAATAAATTGGTGACTAAGTGAACAAAATATTAATAAACTAGTTGAGTAAGTGAAAAAATAATAATCTGTAAAAATGATGAATCCCAATGACTCACATGTTGCAAAATAACTAGGAAGCAAAAGGGAAATTAGACTTTAAAGAGCGTAATCAGATGCAAGAAATGTTGGCTTGTAGGTGGTTAACTAAAATCGCTTACGGGAAGCTCAGACAGCTGGGGAATCCTGATTTAGTAGACGCTGAAGGGCAGGGCATGAGCCATGTGAACAGCTGCTGAAGAGCTAGAGGATTCCTTTGGATTAGGTGTACACACCCCGTCTCTAATGGGCTGTCAGAGAGCACCAAGTGTTATCACAGAGGTTCACTTTGCTCAAGCCTATGGCTTTTGCAGTGTTTTACTTTAAATGTCTGAAAATGGATTGGCTCTCAAAATAAATCCAAAAATAAAAGTATCAAAATAAGTGACTCTCTAAAACTTGTATTGTGTGGTTTTGGGTGACCACAGTTTAAAGAAGGGACTTACAGCTGATGATTTGTTATCCATTTATTGATTCATTTGTCCATGTAACAAATACACATATTGAGTGCCCATTTTGTGCCAGGTACTGTGCTATGCTCTGGCGATAGTATTCTAAACAAGTGAACTCAAAGAGAGACTAGCATTTCAAGGAGGATGTGCATATTAAATACACACACACGCAAACTACTTGCATTGGAGATAAGGGCTATAGAATAAAGCACACATTGTAATAAGAATGTATAATAGGGAGAGTTAGACCAGTCTTCGAAATTGGGGAAATACTTCTGAGAAAAAAAAAATATTCAAAGCAAGGCAAAGAAGAATGAGGTTAGAGTATAGTTGTCCAAAAGAAAAGAGGGAGCAAAAATGTCCCTGTCAGAGGGAGCAATGTTTCTGAATGTGGAAAATGGTATGGAGAAAGATCTAAAACAAGTACAGCTTTCCTAGAGTACAGTGAGGGCAGAAAAGTGTGGAACAAGCTTGCATCTGAATGGCCGACTGGGGTCCAATCATTCAGAGCCTTGAAGGTTATAGAAATTATTTTTCTCTTTATACTAAGATCAATGGACAGCCTTATGGGTTTCAGGTAGAAAACTGATGTAAACATATTTGTATTTTTTAAGACTATCACTCTGTTTTGTGTGAAAGAGATTGGCAAGTGCCTAGGGTAGATGAAGGACTATCAATCTGAAGCAATTACGGTAGCTCATCCAAAAGAAGGTGATTTGGACTAGAATGGGGACAGTGGAGATGAAAGAAGTAAATCTATTCAAGATTTGTATATGAGATAGAATCAATAGGAATTGGTGTTGTATTGCATGCTGTGTGCTCCATGAAATGCACACCTGGGTGGATAATGGTGCCATTTGCAAGGAGATTGGAAGGGAAATTGGAACAACAGGAAGGATTAGGGGTGTGGATGCTAAGGTGTTTGTTTTGTTTTGTATTTTTATGTAGCGCGTGGGTATTGTGCCTAGAAATGAAGTCATTATTAGGGATTTAAATATGCAACTCATGGAGTGGATGAGACCAGCTAGAAAGATAATAGAGTGTGAAGAGGAGATCGGAAATTCAATAAAGAAGACAAAAGCACTAAAAAAAAAAAATCAGAGAAGACACATCTAGAAAAAATGATGAAATTCTAAGGAAAATAATATTTCCATAAAGAGGTCTGTTCCTTTCGATCTCCAATTTAATGACTTCATGAATGAGGATCCCACTTTTAGCATTAGGTGTCTTGGTTTCCACAGTCTCTACCATCTATTTACCCCTAATTTCCTCCCATATTGCTATTTCTGTGAATATTACCAAAATGTTGCCTTAGTAGAAAAGCTTCAATAAATATTTAAATTGTATAACGTATTCAGCTTTTTCCTGTACTCTGCACTTCCTAAAAATACCTTCTTCGGAAACCCCATTTCAACTGACTACTGTATAATGAAATGAGCCTTCAGTGTAAAACATTTATCATAGTCTCAATTTCAATTGCTCAGTCAGAATTGTTGAGTAATATGAAAAATCATCCTTTAGAGAATACAGAATTGCATAGTTATGACAAGGTAAGTTTGCACTTTATTTAATGCTAGTTTAGTTAATATAGATGCTTATTGGAGAAATGTCTAAAAATTCTGGAGGACCGTTAGTGAAAGTGATTATCCCAATATCTGCAAAAATGGTAAAAATACCTAGAAAACATTGACATTTCAGTTTAAATAAAGCCAGAATCACAATAAAGAGATAGAAGGCATTTGAGTAATTCAATCTAATCATGGATGAATGTAATGTACTTATCAGTTAGCTTTGGAGGAAGTAAGACTCGATAGAATAGTAATATGATATTGAGCAACTTTTTTTAACATTAGGTTTTTAATTGCTTATAACTCAACATTGTTGAACACCTATGTTCTCTTTGCTTTTTATGAGACAGCAACTCTAAGTCAGAGAACAGATACACACACATATGTATATGCGTACAACTACTATAAAATATCAAGAAAGTTATAAAGCATGGTACAAATCAATCATAAATGATTACTTATGAATAGTGTGATTATGGACATTCTCATTGAAGAATCCATTTTTATAAATAGGCATAAGAGTATGGACATACAGAGATGTGAATTAGAGAATGATTGCAAGAAGCAGTGAGGCAAAAAGGATTAATGAAACATTGATCTGTCTTACATACACAGCTATTGACAGTACCTTGTGTGTGCATAGCACTATTCTAGATTCACCTAATCTTCAATGATAATACTGTATTTACCATTTAACAAGCCTGTAATAAGTGTCAGGCACTTCTCTGATTACATCACATACATATGTGATAAGTTCCATATTAACTCTAGAAGGTGGGGAAACATAATCATCTAAATTTACCAGATGAATATGTAGAGGTACAGGGAGATTAAGTAATTTGCTTAAGGTAGCTCAGCTGGTACGTGGTAGAGTCAGGATTTTAATGGTGGCAGCATGACAGTAGGATTAAAGATTCTTAACCAGTCAGTTGTCACGATCTCTCAGATTTTAATAGAATTCTAAAAAGGATAGAACAAAATATAAAATGGCAGGAATCATAGTATCTTCTAACAAGAACTAGACATGTCCCATTGAGGATGCTCTTTAAAAATAAAACCCATTAAAATTTTGGGTTGTTTACTCAAAGCCTATAGACATTGGCATATTATATTTTCTTAGATAAAAACTGAGATATCCTAAATAACTCATGCCCATTCTCTAGACTTGCATAGGGAGCTGTCTATGATAATATCCATAACAGTTATCTTGTTTCACAATTTTATTACTATCTCACTCTTCTTACTTTGTGAAGATGAAAAAGATCAAAAATAAAACTAATGCAGCCCTGGTTTGTTTGTAATCATCTACAGTTAGCCATCCTTAGAGTGGTCTCACTAGTTGTTCTTTTAGAGTTTATTTCAGTTATGTACAGGCAACTGTGCTACATGAACAAAAAGCTAAGAACTGGGCTAACCTGAACATGATTTAGTATTGTAAAAAAATGGTTTACATAGATTAACGTGCCATACTATTCTGAATAGTACTTGGCATAAACAGTAGGTTATTTAAGTTACTATAATTACTGTTGCCTTTTTACATAAACTAATTTTTCTCTTATCTTCATTATGTTAGTCATCCACAGTGTGATATTTAGTTGCATACATTCATATAGTGTACACTGTACAATTCTAGAGTGTACCAGTAACGTGGACTATTAATATTATGCTATGAGGTAAATGACACCCCTGGAGTTAAGCAATGTGCACTCTGTACGATAACGTCAACATTGGCATTCTCATATATATGATTAGAAATAATACTGAGTTTCTCTGACTTCACAAGCAATTTTATTCTCTCATCTCATAAAGAGGTAATGAATGCACACATATCTACATATTTAAAAATAATGTCAGAGATCGTGATGGAACAGAATTATTCAAGATGTATAAATGAGGGTGGGAGGCAAAGGGAAGTCAGAAATACTCCCCAATAATTTATTTCAAATTAAAAGCCTATTGGTTATTGGCTGGTCGCGGTGGCTCATGCCTGTAATCCCAACACTTTGGGAGGCCAAGGCGGGCAGATCACCTGAGGTCAGGAATTCCAGACCAGCCTGGCCAACATGGTGAAACCACATCTCTACTAAAATACAAAAATTAGCCAGACGTGGTGGCGTGCACCTGTAATCCCAGCTACTCAGGAGGCTGTGGCAGGAGAATCACTTGAGCCCGGGAGGTGGAAGTTGCAGTGAGCGGAGATCTCGCCACTGTACTCCAGCCTGGGTGAAAGAGTGAGACTCTGTCTCAAAAAAAAAAAAAAAAAAAAAAAAGTCTATTGATTATCATGTGCGTTTCCATGGTATCAATTGTTTAGTATTGTCCAGTAACTAACTAGTATATAAAACTATCAGGATAATATAAATTTTAACATTTATTTAAAATGCATCTTCTTAACTGTAAGGTTATTGATCTTTGGATAAGCTATAGAAATAAGCCTTAATTCAGAAATATATTTCGGAGACCCAGTAGGTTAATTTGTAGCACTACTCTTTAATATTAAATATACAAATATACATTGTTTTTATAACTTACTGCTATAATGACACTAAGATGTGTGATTATATAAAAATAAGAAATTGTTAGAATTTATTTTATTTTAATCAATGCTGATCCATTTTTCTAGTGTATGAGATTAGATGAGGTTGTATGAGATACCACTTTTCTAGGAAAAAAGAAAGTCTTTATGACAGTGTGATGAATGAAGTAAATTAGCTCATTTCTTTCAATATTACTAGTGTGCATAGATCTTCTCTTTTTGTCTTTCTGTCTATCATACATACACAGAGGCACACATACATACACATTACTTGGAAATTAAGTGGTTTACGTATGAAAGTTTTTGGCTTTACTGATAAGATCAGTAACATGATAAATAATACAACACTGAATACATTTTTCCATTTGAAAAGTGTAAAGAACACTACAACACGGTTGGGAAAAAAAAACAACTTATTATATTCAAATGTCATTCCCAATTGTAACAAACATATAATTATTTATTTCTTAATTAAGAAGCTATTAATAATAGTACTTTAATATTCAACATTAGCAGTAACTTTGTTGGTTTCTTTTTTGATAATTTGTTTAAGAAAATTAGATTATAAATTCTGTTATGGTAAAAATACAAAAATAAAGCAAAGTATTATCTTCTTTCTATCTCTTATATGCATCAGTTGGACAAGATATTGAGATTCTCTTTTCTTTTAATTGCATGCTTTCATTATTTTTCTATTCAAGCTTCACCCTGCTAAGTTCAAGTGAAGTAGAGGACTTCATGTCTCTAGAACCAATTAATGAAATTTCTTCGTCTTTCTTGAACTTGCAGAAGGTCAATAGTGACCATTTTCTCCCTTCTTAAAAATGTTGTCGTCTTTAAGATCTGTGCACTGTCCTCTCATGGCTTCACTACTACTTTGGAGGGTGTTTGTATTCAGTCTGCATTGCAGGCTGATCCTCTCTTCTCAGCCTTTAAAAATTAGGTTTCCTTGGGATCTAGTCCTAGCATAATTCTCTTCTCATAATGATCTCTTCCTCGATCATTGCACTTATGTCCACAGCTTTATTAACACTTATATACAGATAACTAACCAAGTTATACCTCTAGCTTAGATTTCTCCAATGAATTCCAGAACTGTGATTTCAACTGCCTGGGTGGCATCTCCATTCTTATGTGATAGTCACCTCCCTCTAAATGCCCTAAACAGAACTTTCTCTTCACCGCACAAAACCTGCTTCCTTCTCATTGTTTTTCTTATCATTGAATGGTGCAACCATTCACCCAGTTTCACAAGCCAGAAACATATCTCATCCTTGAAACTCTGATCTTTTTTACCCAGTTATTTCTAAGTCATTGCCAGTCACTGTGGGTTTTATCCTCTAATATATTTTCATCCACTTCTCTTTATCTCCTCTACCATCATCCTAGCGCAATATATTTTCTCTCACTAGGAATACAGCAGCCTTTCCTTTCCAGTTTCTCTGCATTCTCTTTCGTATTCTTGATAATCCACTCTCTAAACTTCATGCAGCCAATTAAATTCGAAGATACCACCACTTGTTAAATCATGTTAGTAGTTTCTCTTGGTTGCTAGGAAAGCCAAACAAAACAAAACAAAACACATTTAAAAATCAAAGTCTAGACACTGCCTACCTCTCCTATCTCATTTCCCATCATGTTTCCTTTGCCTCGCCCCCTTACTGGCTTTCTTTTTGTTCCCTGACTAGGTATAGCTTTTTTTTTTTATCTACAGTACTTTTGTGTATGCTTTTCTATTTGTCTAGAACCTCCCCGTTTCCCCTTTTTTACCTTGATGACACCATTTTCCACCTACAAGCTTACCTCTGGATAGACATCAAAATCCCCTAAGTACATCAAATTCCTCTACCACGTAACATCTGTTCATAACACATAGCACTGTTATGATTCCATATGTATGTACGTGACTAATTAATACTTGCCAGTCGGATTATGTGGTAAGTTCTATGAACCAAGACACCTCAACTGTTCTTGCTCACCACTTTATTACCTGGAACCAAACACATTAGGTTTCCCCATATATATTTTTAAATAAGTTACTTGATGTGTAATGCTTTAATGAACATAATTACAGATGTTTACATATAATATGTTATAATAATGATATTTTGATTGCATTTTATGAAAATTTTATATGACAAAGCACTTTCATTTTGGTTAAAGCTTCATATATAAATATATAATAAAGATTTGCTTTTTGTCATTGGGTGCTGTTCCCTTTTTTGATTTCCCATACTGCTTTTCACTTGTGGTTCTTGATTTTGTTTTTTACTGTTTTTAACCCATGTCCTTTTTCTTTCCTTAATCTATCTTTGTAAAGTCTCAAAGAACTAGTATCTAGAATATATAAATATCACTCAAAACTGAGCACTAAAACCACAAATAATCTAGTGGAAAAAAATGTGGGAAAAGCCTTAATAGACATTTCACTGAAGAGGATATACAGATGGTAAAGAAATGCATAAAAAGATGTTCAGCTTCACTAGCCATTAAAGAAATGCAAATTAACACTACAATGAGTTATCACTATACACCTATCAGAATGGCTAAAATTAAAAAAAGAAAAACAGTGACAACACTGAAAGCTAACAGGGATGCAAAGGAACTGGGTCTTTCTAATATTGCTGATGGGAATGTAAAATGGTACAACCATTCTAGAAAACAGTTTAGGAGTTTCTTCTAAAATTAAACATGCAGTCACCATACAGCCCAGCAATTGTACTCTTGATATTTATCCCAGAAAATTGATGTTTATGTTCACCCAAAAACCTTGACATGAATGCAGTAGCTAGAAACAAGAAACAGCTCAAGTATCCATCAATGAGTGACTGTTAAACAAACTGTTATATACTCATACCACTAAATACTACACAACAATTTAAAGGAATGAACTACTGATACTCAATATTCACAACTCCAATGGATGTCAAGAGCACCATATTGAGCAAAAAAAAGTCAAAGGTTAAATACTGTGTTATTTCTTGTATATAACATTACTGAAATATAATTATAGATATTAAGAACAGATATTGATATTAAGAACAGATATTGGTTGCCAGAGGTCAGGAATAAGGCAGAGGGTATGCTATATAATGGTGCCACAATGGAGCCTTGTGGTGATGGACCTGCTCAATATTTTGATTGTGGTGTTTGTTACACAAAGCTACACTTGATAATGTCGAATAGAGCTTCACACACAAACACACACACACACACACCAGAGTCACACAAGTGCATACTTGTCTATCTGGTAAAGCCCGAATAAGCTCTATGAATTATAGCAATAATTTCCCAGTTTTTATATTGTACTATAGTTATACATGGTATCAACATTGGGAGAGGTAAAGTGAAGTTTGCACAAGACATTGTTGCATATTTCTTTGCGACTTCCTGTGAGTCTATAATGATTGCAAAATAAAAATTTGAAAAATACAGCATTAGACCTTTAATAAGCTCTTGGTTTTCTGAAGGCTAGGGTATCATCACCAAACCTAATCGAGGATAAGTCTTGTAAATTAATAAGTCTATCACTCAAGGTACAAAGGATGGTTTAATGCTAATCTGCTAGAATGCAATCCATTTCTATTATATGGGAACGTGCATCACTGATTGAATAAAATATCATGATGATGGAGGCCGTATTCTATATGTCCTACTTTGTAAGGTGTTGTGTTTCAGGTTGTTTATGACCAAAAACCCTATATGACAAGCGCTAGAAGTTATGCTGGTCCACGGGCATGGTAACTTGACAATGCCTGAGACTACCTGGGTTTTAAACTTGCCTCTACCTACAAAGGCAAGTAATCCTGGACAAGCCAATATTTATTTAACTAGTATTAATTGAGAGCCTACCATATTTCTGGCACTGAGCTGAGCATGTCTACTACTGTCCTCAAGAGGAAATTAGGAAAAATAATGCCCCTTCACAAGCTTACTTATTGTTGGCTTTAAAAGGGGGATATATAAAGTTTCTTGGTGAGGGTCAAAGTGTTGAGAATAATTTTTCTTTGTATTATTTTAACTATTATTGTTAATCACAAATAACTAATGTATATAACTCTAAAAGATAAATGTACATTTGGATACCAACTTGTATAAACAGATACATAGATCAAAAGACTACCTCTGATTTTATGTTTGTGCGTGTGTGAATGATCTCCTTGCTTTCAATCTGGTCTTCAGAAAATCCCACCTTGTAATTGCTGCCCCCGTTGAGTTTCTAAAACAAATAAGATTGTGTGCCTCCAGCTTAACGTCCTTTAGAGAATCTTCTAGCTTCAGGGTAAAATCCAAGGTCCTAACGTACAAGGTCTTTCACAGTATGGCATCTGCTCATGTCTCTCACCTCCTGATCTGCTGTTCCCCACCAGGAACACTTCTGTCTAGATATAAAATTACTTTGGTTCAGCAAATAAAATAACTTTGGTTCATGTAATTTTGTGTCTATGACTTGTTCCCACTTCTTGGAATGTTCTCCCAAAAACCACTATCACCATGTCTCTTCCACCAATGACTATTAATATTATTTTTATCTTTCCTTATAGAATATTGTTTAAAAGAATTCCTTACTACCCTAGGTCAGAAAATGGGGCCCCAATATGTATTCTTATTGTAAACTCACTATGGATAATTCTAGACAAGCAATTATATCCCCTATTTTAGCTGTCAGTTTGCTTCTCGGCTTCTGACTCACTCTCTTGCTCCTTGAGGAGATAGCCTGTGCTTATTATATGTGGATTAATTGTGCCTAACAGCTTGTAGGTACACAAATGAATGACTACACAGCATTTATCTGACTATTGTTTAGCCATTACATCACTGTATACATATTTGAAACTCAGGCATCATTCAGATTGGAAAAGCCTTATGAATACTGGCATGCATTATTTTGTACACACACACACACACACACACACACACACACACAAAATAGAACAGGATGGGATAATCCTAAGTAGATACTTTTTTGTCCAGTGTACTCAATATATTGTAAAAATTATAAATCTTAGACTAAAATGTTGGTTGCTTAATTTGGATGATTCATATAATCTGTCGTGTTTTTGGTTATCTGTGTACTTTGTTTTCTCTTTCTTTCTTAGTCTCAAAGGAAATGTCCAAGTTAAAAAAGAGCCCCAATTTGTGGGGATTCCTTTGAGGAGTTACAAAGCTGAGATATCTTAGGAGATGCCAAATTGATGCAAAGTGGTGGAGAGGTGAGCAGAGTAGAAATTTGGAGAATCACTTCTGCTCCTATAGTGCATGCATGCCAGGGCTGCTGTCCTTTGAGGTGGGCACAGGAGCTCTAAGTCCAGTGGGTGTCTGAGGACAGATTACTGAGAAAGTGAATGGTTGGCTTGGACTACCTCAAAGACAAGTGTTTGCTCCTGCTTGAGCTATTGTTGGAGGTTTCCTGAAGGAGACTTAGAACGGAATGTCCATTCCAGAGAGTATTCAGTTTCAGTTTGCTGCATTCCTAAGCTTATTTTCCACCCTGGGAGCTGGCCACAATGATTGGAAATCTTTCATCTGTTTTAATCTGGGATTGAGCTCATTTATAAAAGGAAACTTAGTGTCTGGATAAATATGTGTGCACAAGCATGGAGCCCCATACAAGTATGCCCAAATTCAAGGTGAGAAATGTTTATTGCATGACTCAAATACATGGAATTGAATGGACTCTGAAAACAAAAATAGGATCTACAGAGCCAGTCTAACAACCTATTCATATTTATTATTTTTGCACTTAAATGTTTGTAATATTTTATTGACCAGTGAATATGAACTATATTTTGTATATTACGTTAACATATTATTCATGTAATAATGAATTTTTAAAAACTGGTGTCTTGAACCCTTTCAATTTCCAAAGTATTACAGAAATCCACAGATCTGGTATGCACAGGCATTTTATGAGAAAACTTAGCTTGAGTGATATCATTAATTTACTGAAGTAGTAGGCCCTCTGACCTGCTTTTATAATAAAATTAAGTTTCTGTAAACTAATAAGACCATAGTAACTTTTTCTTTAATATTTTATCTTTGAGGAGATTTGTTAAAGAGGCTTGTATGTGACATGACAATCTATTTTGACTTATAAAATTTCAACCAAAGAAAAGATGCGATATAGTATCTTTGTTCTTATCTATGACAATTTTTATGATGATAGTTCCATAATTAAATTTTTTCTTAATGAAAGTGTATATTATTGTATTATCTTCAACTAAATTAGATCATATAACCCAATTTTGATCTCCGTATGCCAAAAGCAGAGAATTGACCAGCCAGAAAACCATCCAGGCCTTATATAATATATTGTGCCTAGATGAAAGCTTATAAGCATTCTTCTGCCTGGGGCTCACATTGTAGAAATGTGGTGTGCAATTTTGAAAGTTGAAAATATAGACTCTGATTGAGAAATGGAAAAGAGTAGAGTTCTAATTCATGACATCTAGAAATCAAGTTCTACCACTGAAAAATTAATTTGCATATATTCATTATCTTTTATAGTGAATGATAATGATAATAAAGACAATAAAGATAATATACATATAATTGGTTTTATAAAAACTATGGCAAAAAATATATTACCATTCTCACTTGTCAGATGAGGTAACTGAGTCTATATTATTTGAAATATAACTTTAAAAATTATATTATCTCCGCTACTAGATTATATACTCCTGGATGCCGCAAACCACATCTTCTATGTGTTTATATTCTCATAGAGTTTTGAATATTTCCTTGTACTAGGAAGAAGTTTTATAAATGTGTTTTGAATTAATTAATATCCAAAAGTGATGGAAAGAATTATAAGTTACTTATAAATTTCTTTTGTTTCAAACCATTAGATGATGACACTTAATTTTTTGGGTATAATATGATATGGAAAGACTCTCAGATAACTTCAAAAACTAGAATTATGCATACATACACTCAGATTTCTAAAAATAACATGCTATCAATTCATCCTGCCTGCCAGGTATACAATTCATTTGAGTTTTGCATGCGCGTTTCAATTGTTCACATTAAACTGTATTCATAGATACAAATTCACTTTTGGAATCTTGGGTACTTAAACAAAAACATAGCCTTTCTAATAGAAGTATAAAAAGGATACTAATTGATGAATATACCAAGTATCTTTCCAATTGCAGGAAACCATTAAAATTGTGTCTATACACTGTATCTCTTTTATCAAAGACTGTAACAAAATCAATTGCTATACATATTGAAATATTTATGTATCTGGTATGATTACATTAGCTTCAGAGTGGTTCCAAATTTAAATTCCCATTGGAGAAAAATGGAGTGAGAAATTTGTACATAAGAGAGAAGAAATGTTTTCTTTTTTTTGAGACAGAGTCTCGCTCTGTTGCCCAGGCTGGAATGCAGTTGTGTGATCTCGGCTCACTGCAACCTTCACCTCCTGAGTTCAAGCGATTCTCCTGTCTCAGCCTCCTGAGTAACTGGGATTACAGGCGGGTCCCACCATGCCCGCCTAATTTTTATATTTTTAGTAGAGACGGGGTTTTGCCATGTTGGCCAGGCTGGTCTTGAACTTCTGACCTCAGGTGATCTGCCCACCTCAGCCTCCCAAAGTGCTGGGTTTATAGGTGTGAGCCACCACACCCAGCCGAGAGAAGAAATTTTACAGTTAGAATTTATTTGGACACATTTTAGAAATTTTTTTCCTGTAAAACTCAAGTTTCATAGTGTGTACGTGAATGCATCTGTGTGAGTGAACACCTGTGTATTTGTGTGCTATAAAAAGATGAACACAGGAATCTAATAGCATAAGTCGCAAGGTAAGAGTATTGTCCAACTAAAATAGCTAACTTCAGAGGTATGAATTACTTTTTGTTGGTGGGTATGATTTTAACATTCCCTTGAATTTATTATTGTAATATTTGCCACTAAAAGAAAAAAATCATGGCTTAGAAATAAATTTAAAGTAACCAAGATCATTGCTATATAAACCAGAATTTAAATTGAGGGTTTTTGAACCATTAGGGTATATTTCCCCTCTGGCTTAAATTTGAAAACTGATGAAATTTTAGATCTCAGCACATTTAATATGTCTAAACAATACTCATTTGACTGCAAAACCTGTATATGTAATTTCCAAGGCCCAGAAGTTCAGTATTTGAAATTAAATTGTTGCATATTACTGAGAAATATTATCTTAAAGCATCTGCTCCTTCTGCTGTTCTAAGTTAGGTGTGTATTTCTCGTTAGTGCTCAGTCGATGAGTACAAATAGGCATGCAGCATGAGAGCAGAGCATTCATTTCATTGACTGCAATTACTAACATGATTTTTGACATCTTATTCATTGGGAGAGTGTCTTTTAATGTTAATTTGAATGAATGGGAATACTTTCACATTCTTAATGAATCTGCTCATAGAGTAAAATAAAACATGACTGTTATGCTTTGAAGATCAAGAATCTTCTTTTACACAAAAGGGTAAAAAAGGCCAAAGAAGGTGAAGTGACACTCTTCATGCTAGTTCCAACACGAGTATTTTGATGAACAAGAAAAAAAGCCTTCTTTAGATGTAGGTGAACTGGGTGATTTGGCATTCCTTCCTCTGAATTCCCAGGGTATTTTGCCTGTTTTTCTTTAACTGCATGCAATTCTTGTCCTTTATCCACTGTTTACAGGTCTGTTTCTCACAATAGGCGGTGAGTTTATTTACACAGTGACTGCTGTTACATATCACATGTACTAAGTCTCTAGTGATTGTTGCTTAACGATGACTGAATTGATAGGTCCTAGCATGGCTGATCTCTCACATTATTCTTGTTTGGTTTGGGTTTGGGTATGAATGGTGGAAAGAGAAATGGCTGGCTCTGAGCAACATATTACAATGGGTTTCTAGCATCTACTCCTCACCTAGTACTAGCTTAGACAGTGAGCAAAATAAAACCATAAAGCAGGCCAGGCATGGTGGCTCATGCAAGTAATCCCAACACTTTGGGAGGCCAAGGCGGGAAGATCACTTGAGGCCAGGAGTTCGAGACCAGCCTGGCCAACATGGTGTAACCCCGTCTCTACTAAAAAGACAAACATTAGCTGGACGTGGTGGTGCACACGTGTAATCCCAGCTGCTTGGGAGGCTGAGGCAGAAGAATCCGTTGAACCCAGGAGGCAGAGGTTGCAGTGAGCCAAGTTCGTGCCACTGCACTCCAGCCTAGGTGACAGAGCGAGACTCTATCTCAAAAAAAACGAAAAAAAAGTAAAAGTAAAAAAGCTAAGAAAGCAAACTATGTGTTGTCAAGAAGTGTTTATTTTTGCATCTTGAATTTTTAAAGGAGGAGGTTCAGATCTATTTGTTAGATGACACAGGGTTTGTGAAAACTCTTGCAGACCAATGAAATCAGAACATACAGGCACACCAAGTGCAGATTGTGTTTAGAGCCACTGTTCTAAAAGCAGGTGTAAGAGGGTTGCAGTTATATCCCAGATAAGAGCCTTAGGGCATTAGGAATGAAAAAGACAAAATGCAAACAAAAGATATTTAGATATTTAATTAGTAAAACTTATTTGCGCGGGTAATGAGGAGAGAGACAAAAATAGTAGAGAGCAAATCATCAATACTGACTTCCTGATTTCTTACTAGGGCAGTATAGGTGTACACTATATATATATATATAATATTATATATTATATATATATATATAATATTATATATTATATATATATATAATATTATATATTATATATATATATAATATTATATATATAATATTATATATTATATAATATATAATATTATATATTATATATATATATATAATATTATATATTATATATTAGTACTACTTCCTTTTATAAATTGGACAGAAAGCTTATATGTATAGAAAGAAAGATCAGGCTGGGCGCGGTGGCTCACGCCTGTAATCCCAGCACTTTGGGAGGCCGAGGCGGGTGGATCATGAGGTCAGGAGATCGAGACCATCCTGGCTAACAAGGTGAAACCCCGTCTCTACTAAAAATACAAAAAATTAGCCGGGCGCGGTGGCGGGCGCCTGTGGTCCCAGCTACTCGGGAGGCTGAGGCAGGAGAATGGCGTGAACCCGGGAAGCGGAGCTTGCAGTGAGCCGAGATTGCGCCACTGCAGTCCGCAGTCCGGCCTGGGCGACAGAGCGAGACTCCGTCTCAAAAAAAAAAAAAAAAAAAAAAAGAAAGAAAGATCAATATTTTTTCAAATGTCCAGCCAATTGTTTAAGTAAGTTAAGGTATGTAATCTAAACTTATAATTTAAGTTTAAAGAAAAACATTAGACCAAATATTTAGCCATTTTGATGTAGCCAAGTTTATGCTTCAGGAGAGTTGCATAGTTATGAATTGAGCTCACAGAAATACAAATACACACGTCATCATAGTGTGATATCCAGCATAGATGGGGGGCAGTTATCATAAATCCTGTCCTAGGCTGGGTTTGGAATGTGAGACAGATTTTATAATAATAATATTTCATCTACATAAAACAGTCCATTTCCTGGACTATAAGGATCATGATACCATTTGTTTATCATGGCTACAAACAGAACAGGAAGTAGTATCCTTCAACAGAGAAGATAAATTATAACAGTCATTATTTAGAATATTTGCAATTCCTTTGTGTAGGGCTATTCTTTGTTAGCTGAAATAAAGCTCTCTGCCTTGATTAC